>NW_003315918.1:0-101241 GCF_000001405.40 Homo sapiens | reverse complement strand
ATTGATTTTTTTAAGGGTTTTTCGTGTCTCTATCTCCTTCAGTTCTGCTCTGATCTTAGTTATTTCTTGCACAACTTTTCTTGCACATTCTGCTAGCTTTTGAATGTGTTTGCTCTTGCTTCTCTAGTTCTTTTAATTGTGATGTTAGGGTGTCTATTTTAGATCTTTGCTGCTTTCTCTTGTGGACATTTAGTGCTATAAATTTCCCTCTACACACTGCTTTGAATGTGTCCCAGAGATTCTGGTATGTTGTGTCTTTGTTCTCATTGGTTTCAAAGAACATCTTTATTTCTGCCTTCATTTCGTTATGTAGCCAGTAGTCATTCAGGAGCTGGTTGTTCAGTTTCCATGTAGTTGAGTGGTTTTCAGTGAGTTTCTTCATCCAGAGTTCTAGTTTGATTGCACTGTGGTCTGAGAGACAGTTTGTTATAATTTCTGTTCTTTTACATTTGCTGAGGAGTGCTTTACTTCCAACTATGTGGTCAATTTTGGAAAAAGTGCAATGTGGTGCTTAGTAGAATGTATATTCTGTTGATTTCAGGTGGAGAGTTCTGTAGATGTCTATTAGGTCTGCTTGGTGCAGAGCTGAGTTCAATTCCTGAATATCCTTTTAACTTTCTGTCTCGTTGATCTGTCTAATGTTGACAGTGGGGTGTTAAAGTCTCCCATTATTATTGTGTGGGAGTCTAAGTCTCTTTGTAAGTCTCTAAGGACTTGCTTTATGAATCTGGGTGCTCCTGTATTGGGTGCATATATATTTAGGATAGTTAGCTCTTCTTGTTGAATTGATCCCTTTACCATTATGTAATGGCCTTCTTTGTCTCTTTTGATCTTTGTTGGTTTAAAGTCTGTTTTATCAGAGACTGGGATTGCAACCCCTGCCTTTTTTTGTTTTCTATTTGCTTGGTAGATCTTCTTCCATTCCTTTATTTTGAGCCTATATGTGTCTCTGCACATGAGATGGGTCTCCTGAAAACAGCACACTGATGGGTCTTGGCTCTTTATCCAATTTGCCAGTCTGTGTCTTTTAATTGGAGCATTTAGTCCATTTACATTTAAGGTTAATATTGTTATGTGTGAATTTGATCCTGTCATTATGACGTTAGCTGGTTATTCTGCTCTTTAGTTGATGCAGTTTCTTCCTAGTCTCGATGGTCTTTACAATTTGGCATGTTTTTGCAGTGGCTGGTACCAGTTGTTCCTTTCCATGTTTAGTGCTTATTTCAGGAGCTCTTGTAGGGCAGGCCTGGTGGTGACAAAATCACTCAGCATTTGCTTCTCTGTAAAGGATTATATTTCTCCTTCACTTATGAAGCTTAGTGTGGCTGGATATGAGATTCTGGGTTGAAAATTCTTTTCTTTAAGAATGTTGAATATTGGCCCCCACTCTCTTCTGGCTTGTAGAGTTTCTGCCGAGAGATCCGCTGTTAGTCTGATGGGCTTCCCTTTGTGGATAACCCCACCTTTCTCTCGGGCTGCCCTTAACATTTTTTCCTTCATTTCAACTTTGGTGAATCTGACAATTATGTGTCTTGGAGTTGCCCTTCTCAAGGAGTATCTTTGTGGTGTTTTCTGTATTTCCTGAATTTGAATGTTGGCCTGCCTTGCTAGGTTGGGGAAGTTCTCCTGGATAATATCCTGCAGAGTGTTTTCCAACTTGGTTCCATTCTCTGTGTCACTTTCAGGTACACCAATCAGACGTAGATTTGGTCTTTTCGCATAGTCCCATATTTCTTGGAGGCTTTGTTCATTTCTTTTTACTCGTTTTTCTCTAAACTTCTCTTCTCGCTTCATTTCATTATTTGATCTTCCATCGCTGGTACCCTTTCTTCCAGTTGATCGAATCGGTTACTGAAGCTTGTGCATTCGTTGCGTAGTTCTCATGCCATGGTTTTCAGCTCCATCAGGTCATTTAAGGACTTCTCTACACTGGTTAATCTAGTTAGCCATTCATCTCATCTTTTTTCAAGGTTTTTAGCTTCTTTGCGATGGGTTTCAACTTACTCCTTTAGCTCGGAGGAGTTTAATCGTCTGAAGCCTTCTTCTCTCAACTCGTCAAAGTCATTCTCCATCCAGCTTGTTCCATTGCTGGAGAGGAGCTGCGTTCCTTTAAAGGGGGAGAGGTGCTTTGATTTTTAGAAATTTCAGCTTTTCTGCTCTGTTTTTTCCCCATCTTTGTAGTTTTATCTACCTTTGATCTTTGATGATGGTGAGGTACAGATGGGGTTTTGGTGTGGATGTCCTTTCTGTTTGTTAGTTTTCCTTCTAACAGTCAGGACCCTCAGCTGCAGGTCTGTTGGAGTTTGCTGGAGGTCCACTCCAGACCGTTTGCCTACGTATCAGCAGTGGAGGCTGCAGAACAGCGCATATTGCTGAACAGCAAATGTTGCTGCCTGATCATTCCTCTGCAAGCTTTGTCTCAGAGGGGTACCTGGCCGTGTGAGGTGTCAGTCTGCCCCTACTGGGGGATGCCTCCCAGTTAGGCTACTTGTGGGTCAGGGACCCACTTGAGGAGGCAGTCTGTCCGTTCTCAGATCTCAAACTCTGTGCTGGGAGAACCACTACTCTCTTCAAAGCTGTCAGACAGGGACATTAATTCGTATTACTTCTAAGACTCCTTTCTGTAATTTCTGTGCTAAAAATTCCACTGTGCTTAACCATTAGAGTGCTAAAAAGCCCTCCCAGGACTTCTTCACAGGCATAGATGAATTATTACTTTCTTCATATCAAACTATTTTTTTTTTGGTGCCTGTATGATGTCTAGCACTACATGAGGCACTGCAGAGCTCTACCAAGATGTGAATTTTGCCTTTTATCAGTGGTGTCTGGTTCATAATATATGCACAATACATATTTGTTGAATAAATTAAGGATCTGAGTGAGAGAACTATGGTATCTCTTGTTCTGTTGTGTGCCATTTCCTTACTTTAAAGCCAATTACCCCATTGCTTATGGTAGGGGCAGTGTTACCATAGGTCAAATCTCCAAGAGCTTAGGAATGCAAAGGGCTCTGAGAGAACACAATAAACACCCTAGAGCTTAACAATAAGTATATGCATTCATTGAATAGGAACATAGTCCCTCTTCATTTACACATGGTAATTTTCACAGATTATAGACCATATTAATTTCAGCCTTTTTTTTAGGAAAAGAAGTTGTTCTGATGTTTTTTTGTATAGTCTGTTGAACTGAAAACTATCATGTATTTACTTGGAATTATTTAGAACAAATAAAGATTATTTTCTTGTATGGAGATCGAAGACTCACAATGTTACTTTACCAAAAGAGTAGTTACTAAAACATCTACTTTGAAAATACACATTATTGACTGACTCTTAGAGCCCATGAGGCTACAAGCAATTTCAATCTATTAGAACTCAGTGATTTCCTAGGCAGCAGGAGAATAACTGACTAGAGTTACTACTTGATTCCTCTATTCAAATTGCAAGAACTAAATTATATTGGGAATGCATATGGCAAGTGGAAGGAATAAATAATATTTAGTCACTACAAGTAAAATATAATCATAACCAGAAAAAAAATTTATGAGAGAATGAAACAAAGACAGAAAATTTGCATCCTAGGACTACAAGGAGAGACTCCTAATAACTCACCTCAAGTATAGCCATCATCTAGCTCCTCAGTGTTTATAAAGTAAAGGTTAAACTGCTTACCTTGGTAGGCAAGGCATGCTACATTCTGATCCTAACAATTACATCCAGTCTCAATTCTACTTTCTCCTCCCTTTACCTCCTGGCCACATAATTGACATTTAGAGCAATTTACCAGAGTATATATTCACACATGTAGGCAGAAAATTTAATCAGTATTTTAGTGCTTAACTCTTAAGTATGAGCACAGAGACAAGAATCATCAGACATTTAGGGAAAGCCACCAACATAAAAGAGACCCAAATAAACAACCACAAAGCAATCTGGAGTTAATAGAGGCTATGAAGGGAATGGAGAATACTTAAAAAAAAAAAAGCAACAATTAATTTTCTCAGAGAGAGATAAGAAACAAATCAGAGAACAAGAAAGAGTAATTGGAAATTAAAAATGAAAGAACTGAAATTAAAAATAAATCAGTTAAAGAAATGGAAGAAAAAGCCAAGGAAATATTTCAGAAAATAATATAAAGTAGTTGAAAGGATGGACTACAGGAAAAACAAGCTAATTAAAGGGTCAATCAAGAAGGCCCAATATCAAATTGGCTCCATGAGGGCAATGTTTTGTTCACTGCTATTACCTCTAGCACAGAATTACAATGCCTTGCTAGGGGAGGGGCATGATAACTATTTGTTGAATGAATAAATGCATGCTCCAAAGAGAAATCAGAGGGATAATGATGGGATCAAAAGAGGACGAAAATAAACCTTCCCCAAAATGAAGACCATGTATCATATAAAATGGCCCATCAACTGTCCAGCACATTTTTTTCAAAACCCGTATTAATTATTAATGCTCATTATCATAAAATTTCAAAATCAGAGATAATGAAAAGATACTAAACCCAAGAACCAAAAACTAGCCATATGCAAAGAATGAGAAATCAAAATGGCTTAGATTTCTCAAAAAAATATTACAAGTTAAAAGTTATAAGAACAAGCCTTCAAATTCTAAAAGAAATTATTTCTTAGCCCAGAATTATTAATCAAATGGTGAGGTAGAATAGAGACATTTTTGCATGTGAAAAATAACAGAAAATGTCTGTCTCATTCTTGTTTGAATCTGTTCCCCTACTTACTAGGTGTGTGACCTTTGGCAAACTACTTCAGCTCCCTTGCCTCACAGCGTAATTCACATGTAAAATGGGGACTCCCCTCAGACCTCCTTCATAAGGTTGCTGTATGGATTCTGTGAGTTATTTCATGAGTAGTCCTGAGAACAGAGCCTGGCATAAAGTAAGTACTCAATAAACTGTTAATTACTATTTTTAATTATTCTAAAATAAAACGAAAGTCTCCACAAAGCAATAGGATATTTATGAAGTTCATGTGTACATCTTATTTGGTTACTAGAAAGCCATTTGTATTTTTCTTCTTACATAATGTTAGCCATACTTTTTGTATTCTCTTTTTTTTCCATTTGTCTCCCTGTCTTTCTTACTTCAACATTTATTATATTGGCACAACTGCTAAGTTTTTTGGTATGTGATGAGAGAATGACATAAAATCTATGCTTAAGTAAATTGAGGGAAAAAGGGAAAAATGCAAGAAAAAAACTTGTTCTCCAGACACAGTGGGAAAAAAATAGAATTAAACTTATATTGCACTTTTAAATCAATTTTTTGAGTTAAAAATTATAAGTGAAAATGATGCTCTGAGATTAGAACCAATTCATTAATCAATGTTGAATACAAGCACTTGGCTATGTCTCCAGCTCCTAATGCCTTTCTGAGCTGACACGCTTCATTATTGTCAGATGAGTTTTCAATTGAGAGGGATAGCTTTGAACACTCAACTGCCCTTTAGCAGGCAAACACGCAGGAAATGGCACAAGAAGCTTGAAACCAAACTCGTGTTCCTGGACTCAGTTTGGTTTTCACTCAGTGTGGCTGACTGGCACCTGTTTCAACAAACATTGGTACCCTTTCCCTCTATTCCTTCATGAAGCTATCTTCTCAGCTGAGGAACAATTAGAAAAACATTTGGGGCACATGGAAGGAATTAAAAGAATATCCAAAGTAAATTCTCCTCCTACCACACAATAAACCCTGACTCCCATAACAGAAAAATCCACTTGCAAATCAAATTCTAAAGCATTCTAAAGGATGGCTTTGGTGAAGACTGCTTGAAATAGCTTATGGGTAGGTCCAGATTTTCAGCACAACTGGATTTTAAGTGTAAGGAGAAATGCCTTTCTGCAGTCCTGTTTCCTCTACGTAAACAAGGTGTCCTCAGCACGGCCCTCAGAGGCCCACCCACTCACACCTGCCAGGATGTTGCTGGCCTCCAGCACATGCTTCCCCCAGTGAATTCAGTTCACTCCAAAAGAAAGAAAAATTACATAAGGTTTTCTCAAAACCAAACAAAACAAAAACATAAAAAACTGACATCTCTATTACCCTTTTGTTTTCCAGAAGTGCTAGCAGAATATCAGGATAAGATGGACAAAACGCAGGCTGAAAGGCAAGAAATCTGGCTCTAACACCAAAACCTCATGCCAGCGTTCTGAGTCTGCATTTCTTCCCTATAAAATACTGGTGATTCCTATTTATAGGCCTTCTTGCCTCCTTGAGAAAATCAAATGAGCTACTTGATGTGAAAGGACTTAAAAACTATCTTTGTTATTCTAATTGATAAAATGTATTTTTTTTTAACAAATATTTGTTTAGTATGCCCAGCACTATTCTAGGTCTGGGGCACATAAGAACGAGCAGTAGTAGGCCATGCGTGGTGGCTCACGCCTGTAATCCCAGAACTTTGGGAGGCAAAGGTGGGCAGATCACTTGAGCCGAGGAGTTCGAGACTAGCCTGGCCACCATGGTGAAGCCCCATCTCTACTAAAAATACAAAAATTAGCCAGGTGTGATGGCACACACCTGTAATCCCAGCTACTGAGGAGGCTGAGGCAGGAGAATCGCTTGAATCCAGGAGGCAGAGGTTGGAGTGAGCTGAGATTGTACTACTGCACTCCAGCCTGGGCGACAAAGTGAGACTCTGTTTTAAACAACAACAAAAACAGCAGTATTGATATAAAGTCTTTTTCTCCAATAAGTTTTCATTTAAAAATACATATACATACTTTGGGAGGCCAAGGAGGATAGATTTTGTGAGTCCGGGAGTTTGAGACCAGCCTGGCCAACATGCCAAAACCCTGTCTCTACTAAAAATACAAAAAATTAGCTGGGCATGGTGGTGCATGCCTGTAATGTCTGTAGTCCCAGCTAATCAGGAGGCTGAAGTGGGGAGAATCACCTGAGCCTGGGAGATCGAGGCTGCAGTAAGCCAAGATTGGGCAACAGAGTGAGACACTGTCTCAAATATAAAAAATAAAAATATATATATACCTACATTTTTTTTTTGAGACAGAGTCTTGCTCTGTCGCCCAGGCTAGAGTGCAGTGGTGCAATCTCCGCTCACTACAAGCTCAGCCTCCTGGGTTCACGCCATTCTCCTGCCTCAGCCTCCCGAGTAGCTGGGACTACAGGCGCCCGCCACCATGCCCAGCTAATTTGAGAGAGAGAGAGAGACATGAAATACACATACATAATATATACACATAATATATATTAGGGTTATCCGGAGAAACAGAATTAGGGTGTGTATACATAGAAATATATATTTATTTTTATATCTATATTTATATATTTATATTTACATGTACCCACATACACACAGAGAGAAAGAGATTTATTTTAAGGAATTGGCTCCTGTGATTGTGGAGATTTAATGAGTCCAAAATCTGATGAGTTGGGCCCTAGGCAGAGCTGTAGGGAAGACTCCAAAGGCAATGTGCTTTTACAAAACTCAGATAAATTGTATGATCTCCGGTTTAATACTCTGTCTGAAAGTCCATCTAAGATTTAGAAGTTGAAATAATTCTATGATCCATTGGCTGGATTAATGAAGTTATGTTTAATGGTAGAAAGCAAATATTCACATTTTCATTTAAGTCCCCAAGAGAATCACGGTTATCTGGAGCATTAAAAAAACATTAAGCATTAAGAGTAGTATCTTAAAAGCTCTATTATCCAGTTATATCACTGAGCGACAAGAAACATAGCTATATGCTTTGCCATCTGTGCATGAGCTGAATAACAGACATGCAGTGAAAGGAGTAACGTGATTGGTCACTGATCAAGTTGCACATTCGTTATTTGCATAGTGATTTGTGGACTGAAGAGGTAGCAGTTGTGCTTTATTGCAATTACCACAGTTAATGTACACTGACTGGTAACCAAAATTGGAATTTTGCTTGTGTCTATTTAAAACCCAAGCTGGTTGAGATCATATAAGGAATTACTAGACAGAAAACAGGAGGAAGTTAAGTACTATACCAGGTGGGATCCCAAATTGTAGAGGTAAAATAGGAAAAATTTAGTAAAAGAGATTACGATAAAGCAGTCAGTGAGGTGGTGGGAAAGCAAAAAAATGTAGTGCCTACAAATCAAATTTCTGTAGTGTTTTGAGAATGGGGAAACTCTTGACTTTGGTCAGCATGCTCCTAAGTGGACTGCAGGCTATGTGGGAACTGGGTGAGGCCTGTGACTGCCGTCTTTCCCCCACTTCCCTGGTGACCTGTGTGACTCAGCAAAGGCAGCCATAATCCCCCTGTGAACATACCTCCATTGGGCTGAGAACCACACTCCCATCCCCCACAGCAGCTGCAGCAAGGCCCACCCAAGGAGACTCTGAGATCAGACAGGCCTATCCTTGTCCCCACCTAGTGGTCTTTCTCTGCCTGCCCTGGCAGCTGAAGACAAAGAACATAATCTCTTGGGAGCTCTATAACCCCACCCACTGCCTGATCCTGCTTATACAGCTGCAGCTGATACGCTCTGGAAAATGAGACAGAGTCTTGCTCTGTCGCCCAGGCTAGAGTGCAGTGGTGCACTCTTGTGTTCCTGGCTGAAGGCCAACCAACACAAAACCAGCACACTAAAGAAAAATACAAGCAAGGACCCACACAGAGTCTATTTCACTTTGCAGACATTCCTTAGTACCAGCTCAGAGCCTGGTAGGCTCTGCTGGGTGACTAGACCCAGAAGAGCAAAAGCAATCACTGCAGTTCGCCTCTCAGGAAGCCCCATCCCTAGGGGAAGGGGGAGAACACCACATCAAAGGAGCACCCCATGGAGCAAAAGAATCTGAACAGCAGCACTTGAGTTCCAGATCTTCCCTCTGACATAGCCTATCCAAATGAGAAGGAACCAGAAAAATAATTCTGGTATTACGATAAAACAAGTTTCTTTAACATCCCCAAAAGACCACACCAGCTCACCAGTAATGGATCCAAACCAAGACAAAATTTCTGAATTGCCAGAAAAAGAATTCAGAAGGCCCATTATTAAGCTAATCAAGGAGGCACTAGAGAAACGTGAACTCCAACTTAAAGAAATCAAAAACATGATACACGATATGAGAGGAAAAATCTTCAGTGAAATAGATAGCATAAATAAAAAACAATCACGACTTCTGGAAATCAAGGATACACTTAGAGAAATGCAAAATGCATTGGAAAGTCTCAGTAATAGAATAAAATGATCAGAAGAAAGAACTTCAGAGCTCAAAGACAAAGCTTTTGAATTAACCCAATCTGACAAAGACAAAGACAAAAAATATTTAAAAATGAACAAAGCCTCCAAGAAGTTTGGGACTATGTTAGGCATCCAAACCTAAGAATAACTGGTGGTGTTCCTGAGGAAGAAGAGAAATCTAAAAGTCTGGAAAACACATTTCAGGGAATAATCAAGGAAATCTCCTCTGGCCTTGCAAGAGATCTAGATATCCAAATACGAGTAGCTCAAAGAACATCCAGGAAATTCATTACAAAAAGATCATCATCTAGGCACATAGTCATCAGGTTATCTAAAGTCAAGATGAAGGAAAGAATCTTAAAAGCTGTGAAGCAAAAGCATCAGGTAACCTATAAAGGAAAACCTATCAGACTAACAGATTTCTTAGCAGAAACCATACAAGCTAGAGTAATTGGGGTCCTATTTTAGCCTCCTTAAACAAAACAATTATCAACCAAGAATTTTTTATCCAGAGAAACTAGGCTTCATAAATGAAGGAAAGATACAGTCTTTTCCAGACATAACAAATGCTGAGAGAATTCACCACTACCAATCTGGCACTACAAGAACTGCTAAAAGGCGCTCTAAATCTTGAAACAAATCCTCAAAACACACCAAAATAGAACCTCCTTAAAGCATAAATCTCACAGGACTTATGTAACAATAACACAATGAAAAAATAAACAAGGTATTCAGGCAACAAATAGCACAATAAACAGAATAGTAGCTCACATCTCAATACAAATACAGAATGGCAAATGGATAAGAATTCACCAACCAAGTTTCTACTGTCTTCAGGAGACTCACCTAACACATAGGAACTCACATAAACTTAAGGTAAAGAGGTAGAAAAAGATATTCCATTCAAATAGAAACCAAAAGCAAGCAGGAGTAGCTATTCCTATATCAGAATAAAACAAACTTTAAAGCAACAGCAGTTAAGAAAGACAAAGAGGGACATTATACAATGATAAAAGGACTAATCCAACAGGAAAATATCACAATCCTAAATATACATATGCACCTAACACTGGAGCTCCCAAATTTATAAAACAATTACTACTAGACCTACCAAATGAAACAGAAGGCAACACAACAATAGTGGGGGACTTGAATACTCCACTGTCAGCACTAGACAGGTCATGAAGACAAAAAGTCAACAAAGAAACAATGTAGGAGGCAGTCACTATTTTCCCTCTCCATTCCCACCTCCCTGTCTGCCTCCAAACATTCCAGTTGGGCCTTAGGCCATGTTACTCCAGCAAAACAACCCTGTCTAGGTCCAGATTGATCTTAATATTCCAGTTTCAATGGTTAATTAGTCCACACTACTTGACCTCTTAGGAGCATTTTGACCAAAGCTGAAAGCTTCCTCCTTCTTCACATGTTACTAAAATTTGGTTTCTGGGCACTGTGCTTTCTTGGCTTTTCCACCACCTCTCTGGCTGCTCTTTCTCTTTTGCTAAACTTTCCCTGTCTATCTCACGTCTACAGTTCGGGGCACTACCGGGTATAGTCCTTAACCTCTTACTGTTCTGTATCTAGTAACTCCCTATATGATTCTCAACCAGTTTGAGGTTTTAAATAGCATTTATATATCAATGACTCCCAAATTTGTATCTCTAGCCACCGTCTCTTCCCTGAGCTCTAGAATAGGTGATAATATTCCTCTCAACTTATCACATCTAAAGGAAAACTTTTAATTTTCCCTTCCCAGCTGCTGCTTCCCATCTTCTCCATCTTTATATATCATACCATTATACCCTTACTTGCCCTAGCCAAAAACTTAGGAATGATCTTTAATTCCTTTCTTTCCCTCACAGCCCATACCTAATCTATCAGTTTGCTCAGTTTGGTCTTCAGGATATACCCTGAAGCTGACCTCTTCTTAAACCCTATTGCTAAAACCCTGGTCCAAACCATCATTATTCCTCACCTGAACTGCTGCAAAAACCTCCCAACTTGGCCTCCAGCCAGGAAGGGGTTTTCTTGTTTCCACTATAGCTATTCCATAGTCAACTTTTAGCTCAGTTTCCAGAATGATCCTCTAAAAATGCATATTGAATCACATCACTCCTCTGATTAAAACTGTCTGGCAGCTTCTCATCACACAAAGTATAAAATCCAAACTCTTTACCACAGCCTACAAGGGCTCCTGTGATCTGTCCTCTTTGTGCTTCTCCAAGCTCATCTTCTAATTCTCTCCCTCTAGCTCACTCTAGCTACACGTCTACATTCTGCTGTTTTTATACTACAAGCTCATTCCTCTTTTGGGGGATTTGCATTTGCTATTCCTTCCACATAATATTCCCCACCTCCTTCAATCTTAGCAGTGCTTTATTGATTGATTGCCTAAAGGTCAGCTCAGCAGGATGTCTTCCATGATGACTTTATATAAAAGAGCACTTCCTGTTCGCATCCCTGTTCCCTCTTCATTTTCCTTCATAAAAATTATCATACCTCTTGATATTCCATTATAAGTACACACACACATACATACACAGGGTGAGAGAGAGAGAGAGAGACAATCCTCACTTAGCACACTTTTGATATGCATGGGGTTCAGTTACAACATTTTAAATAAAAACCCTAGTCCCTCAACAGCATGCTTCAAATTTCAGTTCTCATGGTAGATTAACAGTAAGTAATTGCATAAGATACAAAATTTGCCACCAGCCCTTCAGTCCACAAATCGCTATGTGAAAAGAGAGATGTGCATAATGATCAGTAACTAATTGCATCACTCCTTTCACCATCCGTTAGTGATTGCTCACTGTGTTTGTTATTCAGTTCATCACAGACAGCAAAGCATGGACTTTGGATGCCTCTTTGTCTCCCACTGATAAACCCATAGGATGTTTTATGAAAACGGGTCACTGAAAGAGAGAATTAGACAACAAAGATGAAAAAGCAGCAAAGAAACAACAAATGATAACACAAAATAAAATAAAAATAAAATGTAAATAGAGTTACAAAAGAAATATCTGACCATGGGAATATTGATACTGGCATCATTTGAGAAACTATAGCTCTATAACCAAAGGAACTCAGTGAAGCACAGCTATCAACACACATGAGGAAAAGTGGGTGTGAAGAAAAGGATGAAGATGCCCCAGAAGTCACGCTTGCTGAAAAACTTCCCCTTAAAGGAATTCTCAAAGATACATCATGATATTGAAGGCACAAAGGAGAAAACATTGGAAGGTGATTCAAACTTAGAAAAGAGCATGATGATTTGATAAGATATTGAGAAGATGCTCACTCTGTATGGTAGGTTATACAAGAAGAAGGCAAGCGCTGTTCAAACTACTCCTGACACTTTTTTCCCAGAATATAAAATACTTTAATTTTGAATGTTTCTAATGTTTGAAACTATAGTATGTTAAATTAGTATTGGTTGTACTATTTTTTCATTTTCTTATACTTTCATAACTTTAAGCAGTAAGAGATTTTTTAATATCAAAATGTTTTATAGGTTATGGAACAATAGTAATATTTTCATTGATTTTTACAATCATTTTGCATGGTTTCAGCTTGCATGGCCATTTTTACAGTCCCACACCACTGTGGAAAGCAAACATTGTATAAAGAAACAAAAATAACTACCATAGTCAGAATCATTTTTAAAATTATAAAAAAAATGGGGGGGACTCATGTTAACTGGCTTAAAGAATATTATAAAGCTGGGAGGCCGAGGCGGGTGGATCACAAGGTCAGGAGATCAAGACCATCCTGGCTAACATGGTAAAATCCGTCTCTACTAAAAATACAAAATAAAAATTAGCCGGACATGGTGGCGGGTGCCTGTAATCCCAGCTACTCAGGAGGCTGAGGCAGGAGAATCGCTTGAACCTGGAAGACAGAGGTTGCAGTGGGCTGAGATCGCACCATTGCACTCCAGCCTGGGT
Source organism: Homo sapiens (assembly GCF_000001405.40). Lineage (NCBI taxonomy): Eukaryota > Metazoa > Chordata > Mammalia > Primates > Hominidae > Homo > Homo sapiens. Next base: position 88,093 of record NW_003315918.1, on the reverse strand, counting down.
GATAGAGCAAGACTCCGTCTCAAAAAAAAAAAAAAAAAGAATATTATAAAGCTACAATAATCAAATCAGGACAGCGCCAGTATAAGGACAGATGAATATATCAGTGGAACAGAATAGAGTCCAGAAATAGATCCATACATAAGTGGTTAATTGATATTTGTCAAATGTGCCAAGGCAATTCAAAGAGAAATGGATAGTGGTCTCAAAAAATTATGCTGAATCAACTGGGCATCTTTATGAAAAATAATAAACCTCAACCTCACACCATACAAAGAATGAATCATAGCCTAAAACATAAATCTAAGCATAAGCCTTAAAACTTCTAGAATGAAACATAGGAGAAAAATTTTACAGCCATGGAGTAGGTTCATTTATTAATTTAAAATAAATATAATTTATATTTATTAGAATTAAAAATTTATTAATGAGAACATGAAAGCACAAACATAGAAGGAAAAACAATACACTGCAATTGATCAAAATTAAAACTTTTACTTTTCAAAGGATATCAAGAAAATGCAAAGGAAAGCCAGAAATTTGGAGCATGAATTTGAAATACATATATCTGACATATTGTATATCCAAAATATATAATGAGATCTTGCAACTCAAGAAAAAGACAAACTACTGACTAAAAATAAACATGCAAACAAGCAAAATAATTGGGCAAAGATTGAGCCGACATTCGCCAAAAAAAGTATGAGAATGGTAAATAAGTACATAAAAGGATGTCCACCTTCATTAATGAAGGAAATAAAAATAAAAATCACAATTAGATACTACTTCAGATCTATTGGAATGGCTGAAATTAATCAGACTGACAATACCAAAGAAGGGTGAAGAGCAACTGAAACTTGCTACAGTGTTCTTTGGAGTATAATATGGCGTGAACATTTTGAAAAAGAGTTTGGCAAACACCGCATGTTCTCACTCATAATTGGGAGTTGAACAATGAGAACACATGGACGCAGGGAGGGGAACATCACACACCGGGGCCTGTTGGGGGGTGAGGGGCTAGGGGAGGGATAGCATTAGAAGAAATACTTAATGTGGATGATGGGTTGGTGGGTGCAGCAAACCACCATGGCACATGTATACCTATGTAACAAACCTGTACGTTCTGCACATGTATCCCAGATCTTAAAGTATAATAATAATAATAAAAAAAGGAGTTTGGCACTTTTTAAATGAAGTTTAACATCTACTGACCCAAAGGTATAGAATCTCCAACTTCTAGATATTTGCCCAAAAGGAAATACGTGTCCACAAAAAGGATTACACATCCAAATAACAATAAAGAAACTGAATCCATAATCAAAAAGTTCTCCAAAGAAAAATATTCAGGTCCAGATAATTTCACTGGAGAATTTTACCAAACATTTAAAAAATTGACACTAATTTTGAAACCACCTTTGCAAAATTATAACTGAGCAAATTATGACAGTGAAAGAAATCAGACCTAACCGACTCCATCTTGCTTCTAACCTTTAAGCTGTCCTTGTTCATTCCCGGGTGTAGGGCAAACTAACTTTGGGAAGGATTCAGTTCATGGTTTAACTATCAAACAAAACTGATAACAGCCCTTTCCTGAAAAGACCCCCTTCTTGCCTGGGGACCAGTCTGCCTTTACAGGACTAACAAATTAGCTACAAGATTAAAAATTACAGTTTAGGGGTCATGCAGCTTCTGGCTCCAAAAGTCTGAACCTCCCCAAATTGCTCCTGGGGATAACATCACTATTGTAAAACCTAAGATCAGTACTTGAGACATTTTTCAGACCCTGCACTTGATGGATCAGCTGACACCACCCAGACTGGTAATCTGCCTCAACCAGTTCTGCCATCTCACCCAGGAACAGAAGACATTAAGAAAACCTAACTTCAACCCCCTATGATTCCATCTCCAACCTGACCAATCAGCATTCCCCACTTCCCAAGGCCCTATCTGCCAAATTATCTTTAAAAATTCTGATCCCCGAATGCTCAGGGAGACTGATTTGAGTAATGATAAAACTCCGGTCTCTTGCACAGCCGGCTCTGCATGAATTACTCTTTTTCCATTACAGTTCCCCTGTCTTAAGAAAGCAGCTCTGTCTAGGCAGTGGGCAAGGTGAACCCACTGGGCAGTTACAATTTTACACAACCATTCTGAGAAAACGGAAGTGGAGGGAATGTTTCTCAACTTACTTTATGAGGCTAGTATTGTAATGATACCAAAACCTAACAAAGACAGTACAAACAAAGAAAACAAAAAATATATTCTATGAACTTAGATGCAGAAATCCTCAACAAAACATTAGCAAATTCAAATCCAATAACATACCATGACCAAGTTTGTATTTGTTCCCTATATTTAATGCTGGTTTAATATTTGGAAAATTGATCAATGAAATCCACCATATCAACAGGTTAGAGATGAGAAATCATATCAATTGGCACAGAAAAGGCAGCTAACAAAATACAGGATCATTCATGGTTTTTTAAAAATAGAACTCTCAGGCCAGGTGCAGTGGCTCATACCTGTAATCCCAGTATTTGGGAGATCGAAGTGGGTGGATTGCCTAAGGTCAGGAGTTGGAGACCAGCCTGACCAACATGGTGAAACCCTGTCTCTACTAAAAATAGAAAATTAGCCAGGCATGGCAGCGCATGCCTGTAATCCCAGCTACTCGGGAAGCTGAGGCAGGAGAATCCCTTGAACCTGGGAAGTGAGGCCAGGCATGGTGGTTCACGCCTGTAATCCCAGCACTTTGGGAGGATGAGGCAGTTGGATCACAAGGTCAGGAGTTTGAGACCAGCCTGGCCAACATGGTGAAACCCTGTCTCTACTAAAAAAATAAGCCGGACATGGTGGCACGCACCTGTAATCCCAGCTACTCAGGAGGCTGAGGCAAAAGAATCGCTTGAACCCATGAGGCAGAGGTTGCAGTGACCCAAGATCATGCCACTGCACTCAAGCCTGGGCAATAGAGAGAGACTCCATCTCAAAAACAAACAAACAAACAAACAAAAAACCCTGGGAGGCAGAGGTTGCAGTGAGCCGAAATTGCGCCACTGCACTCCAGCCTGGGTGATGGAGCGATACTCTGTCTCAAAATAAATACATAAATAAAATAAAAATAAAACGTTCAGTTCTAGCCACTGAAATAAGGCAAGAGAAAGAAAAAAAAAGATATTCAGACTGGGAAAGAAGAAGTAAACCCATCTCTATTTGCAGATAACGTAATTGTCTATGTAGAAAATCCCAAGGAATCTACCAAAAAAAAAAGAAAAAAAAGAAAAAAAAAACTCCCAGACCTAATAAGCAAGTTTTGCAAAGTTGCAAGATAGAAGATCAATCCACAAAAATCCATCATATTTCTATATACTAACAATTAACATGCAGAAACTGAAATTTAAAATATAATACTATTTAGAATCACTTCAAAGAAAATGAAATACTTAAAAATATATTAAGAAAATGTGCATGGGATCTTATGCTAAAAATTGCAAAATGCTGATGAAATAAAAGAAAGATAGAAATAAATGGAGAGATATACCTTGTTCATGGATTGGAAAACTCAACATAGTGAAGTGGTTAACTCTCCCCAAGTTGACATATGAGTTTAATATAATTCCTATCAAAATCCCAGCTTTGTGGACATAGAGAAAATTTATATGGAAATGCATAGCCCTATAATAGCTAAAAGAAAGTTGATAAAGAAGAATAAAGTAGGTACAGAAATCACTCTGCCTTTTAATAAGGCTTACATTATTAGCTAGAAAAATCAAGACAGTATGGTAGTGTTTTAGGGAACAGACTCTAGATCTATTCCTAGATCCATCCAGAGAGAGCCACAGAAGAGAACCCAGAATCCAGAAACAGACCCACAAAATACATCCAGTGGCTTTTAATAAAGATGCCAATGAAAGTTAAAATGGCTTATATCCAAAAGACAGGCAACAATAAATGCTGGCAAGAATGTGGAGAAAAGGGAACCCTCATACACTGTTGGTGGGAATGCAAATTAGTACAACTACTATGGAATACAGTTTGGAGGTTGCTTAAAAAACTAAAAATAAAGCTAGCATATAATCCAGCAATCCTAACTGCTGGGTATATACCCAAAAGAAAGGAAAGCAGTAAATCGAAGAGATATTTGCACTCCCATGTTTATTGCTGCACTGTTCACAATAGCTAAGATTTGGAAGCAACGTAAGTGTCCATCAGCAGGTGAATGGATAAAGGAAATGTGGTACATATACAAAATGGAATACTATTCAGCCATAAAAAGAATGAGATCCTGTCATTTGCAACAACGTGGTTGGAAAAGGAGATCATTATGTTAAGTGAAATAAGCCAGACCCAGAAAGACAAACATCATATGTTCTCACTTATCTGTGGGCTCAAATCAAGTTTTTTTGTTTTTGTTTTGAGATGGAGTCTTGCTCTGTTGCCCAGGATGGAGTGCGGTGGTGTGACCTCAGCTCATCTTAACCTCCACCTTCCGCGTTCAAGTGATTTTCCTGCCTCAGCCTCCCAAGTAGCTGGGACTACAGGCACCCGCCACCACGCCCGGCTAATTGTTTGATATTTTTAGTAGAGATAGGGTTTCACCATGTTAGCCGGGATGGTTGTGATCTCCTGACCTCGTGATCCACCCGCCTCAGTCTCCTAAAGTGCTGGGATTACAGGCGTGAGCCACCGCGCCTGGCAATCCCATCTTTTTGGTAAGGGATTGGGGGTAGGGGGAAGGGTAAGAAGCAGGTGAGGATAGTTAATGGGTACAAAAAGAAACAATGAATAAGACCTACTATTTGATAGCACAACAGGGTGACTATAGTCAATATTAAGTTAATAGTACATTTAAAAATAACTGAAAGAGTATAATTGGATTGCTTCTAACATAAAGGATAAATGCTTGAGGGGATAGATATCCCATTCTCCATGATGTGATTATTACACATTGCATGCCTGTATCAAAACGTCTCATGTACCCCATAGATATATACACCTACTATGTACGCACACAATTAAAAATTATTAAAAATTTTTAAAAAGAATTCTCATAACTCAACAGTAAAGAAACACCATTCAAACAGAAAATGGACAAAAGACATGGAAAAGATATTTTACCAAGACAGATACATAGATGGCAAATGAGTACATGAAAAGATGTTCAACACCATTAACCATTAAAGAAACAAATTAAAACTACAGTGAGATATCACTGCACACCTGTAAGAATAGCTCAGATAAAAAAGAGTGACAACATCAAATGCTGATGATGCTGAGAAGTTGGCTCACCGGTGCAATGATGCTGGAAATGTAAAACGGTACCGTTATTCTGGAAAACAGCTCAGCAGTTTTATATAAAACTAAACATACTATCACCATATGACCCAGCAATTGTGCTCTTGGGCATTTATACCAGAGCAATGAAAACTTATCTTTACACAAAAACATGTACACTAATGTTCACAGCAGCTTTATTAGTAACAGCCAAAAACTAGAAACAACCTTCGATGGGAAGGAAACCCATTGATATACACACAGCTTAGATAAATCTCAAGGGAAGGATGCTGAGTGAAAAATGTCAATCTTAAAAGTTGCATATTATATGATTCCGTTTAAATAGCATTCTTGAAATAACAAGATTATAGAGATGGAGAATATATTACTCATTTCCAGGGGTTGGGGATGGAGGAGATGTATGTGGTTATTAAAGGGCAATGCGGGAGATCTTTGTGGTGACAAAACTGTTCTGACAGGGGTGGTGAATATGCAAAACTACACATGAAATAAAATTGTCTAGAACTAAATATACACACACACACTCGAGTACATGTAAAACTGGGAAATCTAAATAACATCAGTAGATGATAACAATGTCAATTCCTGGTCATGATACTGTACTATAATTCTGTAAGATGTTACTACTGGAGAAAACTGAATAAAGGATACACGGAATCTCTCTGTGTTATGTCTTAAAATCACACGTGAATCTAAAAAATCTCAAAATAAAAAGGTGTATTAAAGCAAAAAGATTTGAATACAATCTCATAGTAGCATTTTCATAACAGTCCTAGACCGGAAATAACCCAAATGCCCAACAACAGGTGAATGGAGAAGCAGATTTTCCTACTCAGAAATAGAAATGAACAAATTGTTCATACATGCAACACCATAGTTAATTTCCCAGACAATACTGAATGAAAGAAGACAATATTTCATTTATATGAAGTTGCAGAACAAATAAAACTAATCAATGGTGATGAAAAAAATTAAAGAGTTGGTGAAAGGGAGGAGTGAAGCGACTGCAAAAGAATCTGCAGGCCTTTCTAGGATGATGGAAATATAAAGACATCTTGATTAAGGTGGTGGTTACATACGACACACATTTATCAAAACTTATCAAAGCATATCCTTTAAATCTGTGCTTTTTATTGTGTATGCAAATTATACCTCAACAACTCAACAAGTTATTTTTAAGTGTCGGTATGGTTGTAAGACAGAGAGGAGTCTAGGATATTGAAGATGGAGGCAAGGAAATGTCTGGGGAGTTTCTAATGCAGGCATCTTTGATCCTGGTCAGATGGCCTTAAAGGGAAGGGTATACCAGTCAAGGAAATAGGGCACATTGAATAGGAATCCAGGAAATCTGGGAGTAGTAAAGCCTCTTTTCTCTATTACAACACCTCTATACACCACAGAGGGTGTGAGGAATGAGAAACCTAAGGTCTATATTTCCGTGAGATACTGTTAATGATGACTTTTAATTTGTACAGGCTATAATTTGCATATTTTTCCATGTGCCTAATTAGTGTTATCTTCAAGACTTACTGGGTAAACAAAAGGGGTCTGTTGGTTCAAGGACATACCTGACTTATCATATCCTCCCTTGACTATGCACTTTTGATTACTGAACATTTCCAGAGAATTAACAAATAGAGCAGGAGATTAAATGATATGGAAAATATTAATTAGTGGGCTTAATATCCGTACTTGGTGGGAGAGACGTATATATATGCAAAGAGATTGAAGCATGTTCCAGGGAAAAGCTTAGAAGATGAAGCTACCAGCTTCTTTATTAATGGCCTTCAACTACCTCAAGCTTGCCGTGTTTTTAAAGCAAAATAATGTGTTTCTAACACAAACACTCCAGCAGCATATTACAGCCTGAAAGGGAAATCTGGTAAGGATACAAACAGCTCTCTACTATTTATGCCTTGTGGAACTGCCATGGAAATTCTGATGTCCTGACACTGGAAATATCCAACTAGCCTGCAGAGAAGCCAATTCTTGGAAAGTGCACCATCATTTTAATTTTGAAATAAAAGGAAATTAAGACATGAGGAAAAGATGCCTGAGATGCTAAATATAAAGACAGCATTTAATTATTCTGAGTCAGTTATCTAGTTTAAAGAATAAATTCTTCACTATCAAAAACAATGCACCACTATCTTTATGAATTTTCTTTCTGCTAAACCTCTCTTCCTTTTAGATATCTATATTCTAGAGCTATTGATTTTTGAGGTTCCTCTCATGCAAACTTGGGAGCAAATTCATTGTCAACTACCAATCTGGAACCCAGGAAAGAGTTGAGCTTTTGAAACCAGGATTCCATGTCATTTACTAGCTACTTGCTTCCAAGTTTCCTTACTAAAAAAAAAACGGGAATAAAAATAATTCCTTTTCTATCTTCCTGACAATGCTATTTGCAAATAAATGAAAGAATTCACCTAAAACATAAAGTATATTCCACACATTATATAAGTGCTATTTGATGTACATTTGAGAAGACACTTGATAGAAGAGATTTACAATACAGATATTTGATACAGTTTAAAAACTAACTTTTAACAACATGAACAACCCAAAATGAAACTATTCTATAGAACTAAAATCTTAAATCTGCCAAATTCCATTAGAGTTGAAAATTAACCTATATATTTGGTTTGAAGCAATATGATAATAATGTGAAACCAGTCAGTCAAACACAAAGAAAAGACTTGTACAATTAAATAATTTTAAGCTAGTTTATGAATTCTCATGACCTTATTACAAGTTATTTGATAATGAAGATCAAAGCACATAATATATAAAAACAAATATAAATTGCTAACTATTCTCTGTTTTGTCCAATTTACTTTAATAATGAAAACATAAAATCTATCCACCGTCATATATAAAAATAGGCCAGGGAACTCTCTTCAAGTATCTGTACAAAGGGCTTACATGAAAAATATCTGTGTTTACTATAGTCATCCTGTTGTGCTATCAAATCCTATTCCTTTGATCTAACTATATATTTGTACCCATTTGTATTTAGACAGTTTAAGCAGAATAAATTTTTTAAAAAGAAACTTCTTCGAAGTGCCCCTAGGTTTCAAACAGAAAGGTTTAGTAATGCTAATAAAGTATGACAGTATATTACAATCTATAGTTACACTATCTTCCACCACATGCGAATCTGAAGAAAAGGTTATTGATTTAGAAACCATCTGCCACAGACTTCACAGTTTCACCCAAAGAAGCAATTTGTTTTTATTTTCTATCACTATAACTTCTTACCCTCTCATGACTCTCAGTTATAAGTCCCAGTGAGTCACTTTCCTTTGTTTCATTTCTTCAAACATTTCTAGAAAGGTGAAAATAAGTATATTGGTTTGCTTGAAAATATTTCCTCTACTATTCTTTCTCAAGTGGTCAATAGTATGTTACTAACAAATGCATTTCAACTAAGAATATATGTTTCCTGAGCTGACTCCCACTCCTGCTACAAGTGCATTATTGTACTTCAGTAACCAATCTGCCTTCCTCTTCTATTGCACACCAATATTTTCCTAGGCTAAAATTTTAAACAAACTTGAGCTTTGGAAATCAAATTCCAAGTAGGTACACTGAAGATAGAGGTCTTCATTCTTTTCACAAATTCTACACTTTGAAAGCAATTTATTTTTGTTCTTCCTTACCTCCCAATTGTTGACAGAGCTAGTCATTATGCAATTTGTCAGAATCCTAACTATACAGCCAATATTTTTAAAATTAGATACATTCACAATTTTTACTTTTTTCTCTATGGCAAAATTTTCTTTATCATCCATACCCTGCTGCTACCTAAAATTGCATGCACAGAAAGAGTATTCCCAAGGGATAAAAAAAAGTTTTTCACATTAACTTAAGCAAAGTAATTAAAAATATAAATTTAGTAAAACAGACATGTTTTTGAGTAAGTTTTTTCCAACATGTGGTGAGGCATGTATGTATAACTGTATTTATGAATACGGTTATACTGTACATAATACAGTACATTAAGAATTTGACATGTTTTTTCCTTTATGATACTGAGAATATATAATTTAGCCTATTTCCATTTTTCCCCTGGCTGCCAGAAAGCTGAGAGTCAAACAAACCAGCTGCTCATTATATAACTATATTAGTCTCTTTTTGAACAAATTTGTTTTATTTTCTGTGCCAACTTCTAGAGTACTGTCTAGTAGTAATTCATTAGTTTTATGGTGCATATGTTACACATCATAACCTTTTTCAAGTCTCTTTTAGATAACAGGTAGGATACAATAAAAGGGCAGACATATTTATTTAAGATCAAGGAGGTAAGTTGTTATTTTACTAAAACTTAACAGAAATTGACAAATACTTTTATATGTCTTGAAAAAGTGCTTAAAGCCACATTTCATCAAATAAAATAGATTTTATTTTAGCTTACCTATTGGTAATTTTCAGGGCTCTGAAAAGGCTTTAATTAAAGAGTATCAGAGGATTTAAGAGCAGGATGGCTGTTTGTGTCAGTATTAAGCCAAGATTTACAAAGGCCTATTACGGTTCCAGTGACATTTCCTTCCTATTTTTCCATATCAGCAGGAACATTTCTTGAGGGAATAGATTGCTACTTGCTGATAAGATCTCTGACAGTAAAGGTAGGCTAAGCAGGATGCCAGGTATGAAACTAGAGAATAAAATCTTATCAAATGTAAAACTTGTAACATTGCACCTGCCATGTAGTTGGTTTACCTCGAATGGTCATTGCTTTTCCTCAAAAGCATATAAAGTTGTATCCTAATAAGTGTTGGTATGCAACAAAATTATGTTTTAATAAACTGAGTAATTTTTAAAAACTAATTTTGGAGCATGATAGAAGTTTAATAAACATCTAAAGAGATTTAAAAGCAAATAAGTAATCATAGTCATCAATTCACTTAGAAGCAAACCTCTCATATACTTTACATCTACTTCAAGGCTTTTTCTACTGCATGAATCAAATCACAGCTGCCTTATTTTCACCCAAAGATAACACACTGTTTTGTGACTCCATAAGGTTATTTATTACTAATATATTTTATATTTGCATGGCACTTTTCTATTTACAACATACTTTCATTTATAGATTATCTCATTCAAGCTTCATCATTCTGAGAAAACAGATTATAATCACATTAAAAAGTACAGGATGAGGTTAACAAATGGACTAAATATACAAATAGAGTTAAAACAGCCTGATTAAGATACAGAATTTAAATATTTTTCAGGCTGTGCAAAGCTAAGATAATGTCCTTTGTCATCAAGCTCACTGAAAAGCTTTTATTAGGCAACATTTGTATGGAGCACTGTTCTCTGGGATAAACTACGAACCATTAACATGGGCAAACATACAAGGAGCATACAAGTAGAGAATAAAGGCAAGATTAAGGTACATAATAGTAGCAAAAAAAGTCTTTTATCAGTCAAAGTCCAGATGCATAAGAGTAATATACATATGGATATCACAGGAGTGGTGACAGGTAGATAAAATTTATCACTTTTCTTTTGTATTTCAAGATAATAATATTTTAACTTATGTAATTCCTACAAGAACCCCCTATAAAGTAAGAACTATTTTATGCCTGAGGAAACTGAGGAACAAAGATTAAGAAACATTACTGAAAGCCAGGCGTGGTGCTTCACGCTTGTAACCTCAACACTTTAGAAGGCTGAGGTGGGTAGATCACTTGAGATCAGGAGCTTAAGACCAGCCTGGGCAACAAAGCAAGACCGTGTCTCTACAAAAAAATAACATAAAAAATTAGCCAAGCATGGTAGCTTGCACCTGTAGTCCTAACTCCTCGGGAGGTTGAGGCAGGAGGATAGCTTGAGCCCAGGAGTCTGAGCCTGCAGTGAGCTATGATTGTGCCTGGGCAACAGAGTAAGAGTGAGACACTGTCTGAAAAGAAAATAAAGAAAAAAGAAAAGAAATGAAAAGAAAGAAAAGAAAAAGAGAAGAGAAGAGAAAACATCACTCAAGATCACACACCTAATGCTAATAAGTGGCCAAAGTGGGATTCAAACCCAGGCAGTTTGGCTGCCTACAACTCAACCCTACCCTCACTCTACTGCGTGGAAAAATTACCTGCCATGGTGAACGGGAAACTGAAACTGTATGAAAGAAAGAGGAGAGCAAAGCTTATCTTATGATCAGGTGGTACCTGTGAGAAATGATTTGAGGGAAAAACAAGTAAAATAACTTAAAAATATTCACCTCACTGACTCTCCACCATGAGAAGTTTCCCTTTTAGGATCTATTTTCCAAAATCCCCTATTTGATGCAAGTATTCAGGTATATGTACAGTCACTATCCAACACCTTTGTTTTCAACTAATATCATGGGGATTACAATGACTCTCATGACACCCACGTGAAAGAAAATAAAACCCCACATCCAGGGCAGTGTCTAGACCTGAACGTTACTGAGAGAATAAGGAAACCAAAATAGCTGGCTTCAAATGTGGGCTGAGGACCAGGTAGTAAGTGGATGACATACAATGGAACCTTCCAAACACACAGAATAGCACCCACAGAATAAAACAGAGCCCTGGACGCCAGGGTGGTCATTGATCAAACAAGGCTAGAGGGATGACAGAGAAAAGGCGAGACTTCAAGGCTTTAAAATTGGGAGCAGAGACCTTGGCAATAAGAAACTGCTGGAAAGCTTTCAGAGAAGGTTCCAAATACAAAGGCAGGTTGGTTAATTTGGCACCACCAGGAGGAATACTGTGTGGAGTCTAGCCAGGCCTATGAGGCCTTGAATCCTGAGACAGGAGATGGCAGGAAACCAAATGCAGAAGGTGGCACCAGGAGAGTCCTCATACACCGCACATCCTAGAATATGCTCCAGGGATTCAGAATGATGGATGATGGAGAACGGGCTCTTGCTTATGATGTTTCCAGGAAAGATCTGAGACACAGTAGCCTCACAGAATCTTGGGTTTTTCCCCCGTGGCAACTTGACTGAAGGAGACAATTTTGATACGCCATATCTGCTTTCTATTTCATACCACCCAGAGAAGGTCAGAGGGAATGGGAAAGTAAAAGTTCACTGTTCAAAAAGAGTGAGACGGTGTTTCATGTCTGTTTCTGAGGAGACCAGGGGTACTGTGACAGACAAGGAGATGTTCAGCAATGGTGGGTAGCACAGGAAATGGAGCTCTCTAGGCAGCATGATCACAGAAAGAATTGCCATTGGCAGCCCGTATTTTTCAAGAGGAAATTAAAGGACACATAAAATCAGAGAAGAAAGTGGGGAGCAGAAAGGGTTTCAGGAGCAGAAAGTACATTGAGTACCAATTTGACAGCCAGTCACCATAAAAGATATGAGTTTGGATCCAAATGCCGAGTTGATAGAGCGCTAAGGCAGCTTAGAATCTTCAACATAAACACAGCAGAGAGGGGTATAAAGTGACCGAGCTGAGATGTAAACAATAATTCCTAGACCCAGATTTCAACAGCAGCAGTATAGCTCTTGGTGGGAAGAATAAATATTTTATATGTATAGAAGTAAAAATGATATGTGTGTTAATTCCCAAAGAGGGATTAAAGACCTTTCTCTAACATAGTACCAATGTGTAAATGTTCTCCAAGACTTATTTTATTAAGCACACATTCCTGGGAAGGTGATAAAGCTAGCTATTAGATTGCATTCTGAAGATGCTCAATTATTTTCTTTATATGTGGTCCCCCGCCTTTCTAAAATCTCTACACTGGGCCAAATAGGAGACCACTGAGCTTAGTATGCCAGCTCATTCCTGGATATGTTTATCGCTACTAGGAGCAAATGCTGTGTCTTCCACCAAATTTTTAAGTGTCTGAGCAGACAAATATCTTGAAAACCTGACTATATTTTATGCTGAGCTCTCCAAGTCTGTGCTGAATAAATGCAGGGATACGGCTTATACTAGAGAAAACAAAGTAAAGATACATATATGTTCCTTATGTTGGTAACATTAACAGCAGCTATCATTTCACTGTTTATACTATACTAAGCATGCAGATATTAAAATTAATCCTCTCCTAATGATCCTTTAAGGTAGGTGGTCCCAATTTACAGAAAAGGAAACTGAGGCCTATGTATTGGAACAATTTCCTCAAGAATACACAAAGCTGGAAAGTGGCAGAAATGAGGTTAAATACAGATCTGCTTGAAGCCAATATCTTAACCACTAGGCTCCTAAGCACAGTACTGTCAGCTGGGAATACAATAATGAATATGTCATGGTTCAGTCTTCCAGGAGTCCACATGGGAGTAAAGAGAGAGAGGAGAAAGAGTCGATATAATCCATAACAGTACGAAGAAATCCTATAAGTATATGCAGACTAGCAACTAACAGCCTGAGTATGAACAGTGAGGGTCAGTGTTAGCACTGGGCCTTAACAGGAGCAGTTTGGTTGGCATGAGGGCTGTGGATAGCTGCAGGGGGAGAGTGTCCATCCTGAAGGAGTGCCTTTTACCAGCTGATGGAATCCATTCTAAACATCAGTGGACTGAATCATTGAATAGAATCACCTATAAGGAAGATTTTAGTTTTAATGGTCACTTTTCAAAATAAGCCCGAGTTTCTCATTATTCTTAAGCTATCTTCAGGTTTTATTAAGCCAGCTTTTTAATACATTCAACAGATTGATTTTTTTAAAAAAATTAAGAGTATTAAACCAGAAGAGCTTCAATAAAGACCCTCAGGTTGATGGTAAGGTTTTAATTACTGGCTTTTGTTTTTAGTACTCTAGTTAATTGGGTATCTGATCATCGTATATTTCAAAGCAGTTTTCCCAGGTTCATTAGCAAGAAACTTCTATAATTCAAATCCAAATCTTCACTTCAAATATATTGCCCTTCTTTCTTCTTCCTTATCTACAGGGCTACAGTTTGTCACTGAGGAAATTAAACTGAGCAAAAACAAGTTATTTTTCACAAAGCCAACTTGTTAAGATTTAATACTTTGTAATACTGATAAGATTATATCTGCTAAACAAATTAATTTAGCAGTTTAGAAGTATCTAAGAAAACCTAAACATTGTATAACCCATAATAATCTGACTATTCAGCGTTTATTCTATAGAAATCCCCACTTAGGTGGGCATGATGAAGCATGTACAAGGATGTTCAGTGCAGTATATTTGTAAAAGCAAAAGCTGGAAGCAACATAGATCATCATCAATTGAGCAATAGCTAAATAGGTATCCTGTTTAGCCTACGAATTGACAATGAGGTCAATCTGTATGGACTAACACAGTAAGATCTCTACGACATATTAATGAAAAAAAATCAAATTGCTAAAAATGTATGATAAAACATCAACTGTGTAGAACATCACACACTCACACCAAATCACATATATATACACATATGCATACAAAGGAGAGATATATACATATATACATAAGTTTTTGTAGATATCTCTCTATATTATATTTATGTACATAGCTCTCTTTATCCATATATGCATGCATATAGAGTTGTCCCTTGGTATCCACGTGGGATTGGTTCCAGTTCCTCCCACAGATACCAAAATCTACAGATGCTCAAGTGCCTGATACAAAACAGTGTAGTATTTACATATAATCCGTGTACATTCTCCTACGTACTTGACATCATCTCTAGATTACACATAATACCTAATATAATGTAAACACATGTAAATAGTTGTTATACTCTATTGTTTAGGGAATAATGACAAGAAAAAAATGTCTGTACGTGTTTAGTACAGACACAAGGTTTTTTAAGAGTATTTTTGATCCATGGCTCTTTGATTTCACAGATGCGGAATCCACGGATACAGAGGGCTGACTTACATACCTATATACATATATATGTGTGTGTATATATACATATATGCACACACACATAAATATATATGTAAATGCATATCTAAATGCATAGAGATTAGGATTGAGGATAGCATTTATGGAAACTTTCTCTGTTCTCATTACTTTATTGCTGTAAAAATAATGAATTTCCATATTACTTATACAGATGGTCTCCAACTTACCATGGTTTAGTTTACAATTTTTTGACTTTAAAATGGTGTAAAAATGATACACATTCAGTAGAAACCATACTGTAAGTATCCACACAACCATCCTGTTTTTCACTTTTAGTACAGAATTAAATAAATTATATGAGATATTCCATACTTTAATATAAAGTAGGCTTTGTGTTAGACAATTTTGCCCAATTGTAGACTAATGTAATGTTCTAAGCATGTTTAAGGTAGACTAGGTTAAGCTATGGTATTTAGTAGGTTAGGTGGATTAAATGCATTTTCACCTTATCAGGATTTATCAGGTCGGAATCCCATTGTATAATAGCCTATAGTTTTTAGCGTCTTTTCCCGCTTTTAAAAGAAAGACCAACGTTGAGCATTTTGATGCAAATTAATTTCACGGGTCTCCAAGCATGGCTGAGAACTCAGTGGGAGCAGGACACACACTTTACAGAGTACCACAAAATGGGTGTTTAATAACTATTAAAAAAGGAATGAACCAACCAATGAATAAATGACAGTCTCAGTAAATATTATACTTAAAGTTTCTAAGCATTGGTTGAGGTTTGGAACCTGGCAATTTGTAGGGAGACATTAGAGGATATTCAAAGTAAAAACTAAAATCACTCTCTTTTACTCTGTATTGATTTGTTAATGGTGCTAAGGACTGAATCTCCAAAAGCAAATTAAGATTTACATATTAAGATTTTTTTCTCTAGCCCAGGACATTAATTTGTTAATTTTTCTCTTATAGTTTTTGAACGTAGATAATACATAATTAACATAATGTGGCATTTTAGGGACAGCTTCCTAAGCTTTCATTAGCCATTAAACATAAATACAAATTTTAAAATATAACCAACATTTCATTTTAATTCTTTTAATTATTAAACACCTTATTTTAGTATTTTGCTAAAAGTCACAAATTCCATTTCAATTTGGTATCTACCTAATTTTAATGCAATCCAAAAACTCTACAACATTTCTTAATAAAAGTTAATTAACAGGGGAGTATAGATTAAACAACATCCCCAGAATACATATGATAAAGGCTTAATATCCAAAATATATAAAGGAACTCAATAGCAAGAAAACAAACCAATTAAAAAATAGGCAGAGGATCTGAACAGACATTTCTAAAAAGAATATATACAAATGGCCAACAGGTGTACAAAAAAATGCTCAATATCACCAATCAGCAGAAAAATGCAAATTAATACCACAATGAGATTTCACTGCATACCTGTTAGAATGGCTATTATGAAAAAGACAAAAGATTGCTGGGTGTGGTGGCTCACATCTGTGATCCCAGCATTTTGGGGGTTTGAGGCGGGTGGATCACTTGAGGTCAGGGGGTCAAGACCAGCCTGGCCAACATGGTGAAATCCCGTCTCTATTAAAAATACTAAAAATTAGCCGGGTGTGGTGGTGCACGCCTGTAATCCCAGCTACTCAGGAGGCTGGGGCAAGAGAATTGCATGAACTCAGGAGGTGGAGGTTGCAGTGAGCTGAGATGGTGCCACTGCACTCCAGTCTGGGCAACAGAGCAAGAGACTCCGTCTCAAAAGAAAAAAAAAAAAAGGCCAGGCACAGTGGCTCATGCCTGTAACCCCAGCACTCTGGGAGGCCGAGGCAGGCGGATCACCTGAGGTTGGGATTTCAAGATCAGCCTGGCCAACATGGTGAAACCTCGTCTCTACTAAAAATACAAAAATTATCCAAGGGTGGTGGCACGTGCCTGCAATCGCAGCTACTTGGGAGGCTGAGGCAGGAGAATCACTTGAACCCGGGAGGCGGAAGTTGCGGTGAGCCGAGATCGTGCCACTGCACTCCAGCCTGGGCAACAGAGTGAGACACTATCTCAAAAAAAAAAAAAGAAAAAGAGAAAAAGACAAAAGATAAATATTGACAAGGATGTGAAGAAAAGGGAACACTTGTGCACTATTGGCAGGAATGCAAATTAGTGCAGCCATTATGAAAACCAGTATGGAAATTCCTCAAAAAATTAAAAATAGAACTGCCATATGATCCAGCAATCCCAATACTGGGTATATATTCAAAGGGAATAAAATCAGTGTATGACAGAGATATCTACACTCTCATGTTCTTTGCAACATTTTTCAAAATACCCAAGACATGAAATCAAGCTAAGTGTCCTTCAACAGGTAAATGGATAAAGAAAATGTGGCACATATACACAATGGAATACTATTCAGCTTTAAAAATGAAGGACACTTGTGTTATTTGCAACAACATAGATGAAGCTGGGGAATATTGTATTAAGTGAAATAAGTCAGACACAGAAAGACAAATACCACATGATCTCACTTGTATGTGGAATCTTAAAAAGTTGAACTCATGGATTAGGGAGATGTTGGTCAAAGGATATAAAATTTCAGTTAGATAAAAGTAATAAGTTTAAGGGATCTATTATACAACATGGTGGCTACAGTTAATAACAATGTATTGTGTTTTGAAAATTGCTAAGATAGATTTTAAGTGTTCTCACCACAAAAACTGATGCGTATGTGAGGTAATGCATATGTTAATTAGCTCAATTTAGCCATTCCACAACTTATACATATTTCAAAACATCATGTTGTACATGATAAACATATAAAATGATTGTCAGAGATAAACAAAACAACATCCTCTAAAATTTTATCTATGAAAAGTTTGTCAGCATAACATAATGTAAATGTAAGCATGTAGAAGAATTAAGAGTAGAGTTCATTGAAAATGTGGATGCTATAACTTTATTCCAAGCCTACTGAATTGGAATCTCCTGCACTGGGACTGAGGAAATTGTATTTTAACACACTCCATTGGTGAATCTTTTGCACACCAAACTTTAGGACTGCTGAGACAGAATGCTGCACTCTTCTTTGAACTTGTACACCTTTGCTAGTCAAAGTGTGGTTCTAGGACAAGCAACATCCACATATCATAGGAGCTTGTTAGAAATGCAGTCTCAGATAACACTCAACACTGACTGAATCAGAATATGTATTTTAACAAGAGCCTTCATTGATTCATAGGCACATTAAAGTTTGAAAAGCAGTATGATAATACAATATACTACCTTTTTGTTATGATTTAAATTTAAAAATTATAGGGATGAGTGTATTTTTTAAGTACAAAAGGGATAAAATGTAAAGGAAAAGTGGTTTTTTTTTTTTTTTTTTTTTTTTTTTTTTTTTTTGAGACAGAGTCTCGCTTTGTTGCCCAGGCTGGAGCACATTGGTGCTATCTTGGCTCACTGCAGCCTCTGCCTCCCAGGTTCAGGCAATTCTCCTGCCTTAGCGTCCTGAGTAGCTGGGATTATAGGTGCCCGCCATCATGCCTGGCTAGTTTTTGTATTTTTAGGAGAGACAGGGTTTCACCATGTTGGCCAGGCTGGTCTCAAACTCCTGACCTCAAGGGATCCATCCGCCTCGGCCTCCCAAAGTGCTGGGATTACAGGCGTGAGCCACTGCACCTGGCCAAAAAAGTTTTTTCTCCACCACCTATCCCAGTTTCACTCTTCAGAAACCATAAATAGGAAGTTTCTTCTTATTTATTTTTCTTTAATTTCCTTGAAAAAGGTATTGCTACTCTGTGTTCTAACATCTGGTATGGGGATGAGAAATTTGATTCACATTTCAAACATTTCTGTGATAATTAATTTCAGATGTCTACTTGACTGGATTTAACAATAGCAGGAGAACTGGTGAAGCATTGTTTCTAGGTTTGTCTGTGAAGGTGGTTCTAGAGGAGACTGGTAAGTGGGTCAGTGGCGTGAGTGGGGAAGACCACTCTTGATGTGGGTAGAACCCTGCAGCTGGCTCGGGGCTCAGGTAGAACAAAAAAGGCAGAAAAGAGGCCATTTCTTCTCTCTCCTAGAGCTGGAACACTGGAACACTCTTCTTCCCTTTTCGTGGACATCAGAACTCCAGGCTGTCTGACCTTTGAACTGTAAGACTTAAACAAGCTGCCCCTTAGGTTCTCAGGCTTTTGGCCTTAGGCTGAGAGTTCCACCATCAGCTTCCTTGGTTCTAAGGCCTTTGGACTTAAACTGAGCCACACTACTGGCTCCCTGGTTCTCCAGTTTGCAAATGGTCTGTCATGGGACTTCCCAGCCTCCATAATCATGTGAACCAACTTCCCTAACAAATCTTATCTATTGATTGATTTATTGATCTGTCTCCTATTGGTTGTCTCTTTGGAGAACCCTGACTAGTACAATTTCTTTGTAAGTAAACAATTTTCTTTTTACTGTAAGCTTTTCAGATTTTCTCTTATTCTTGGAGTGATGAAATTTCCCCTAGAAAGTATCAAAATTAATTTCTCCTAAGTTTTGTCTTTTTCATTTACCTTGCTTGGCACTTACTGAATTCTTTAAAAATCAAGAATCAATCTTTCTCTTTTTTCTTTTTTTCTTTTTTTGAGATGGAGTCTTGCTCTGTTGCCCAGGCTGGAGTGCAGTGGTGTAATCTCAGCTCACTGCAACCACCGCCTCCTGGGCTCAAGAGATTCTCCTGCCTCAGCCTCCTGAGTAGCTGGGACTACAGGTGAGTGCCGCCAGACCCAACTAATTTTTTGTATTTTTGGTACAGACGGGGTTTCACCGTGTTGGCCAGGCTGGTCTTGAACTCCTGACCTCAGGTGATCCACCCACCTCAGGCTCCCAAAGTGCTGGGATTACAGGCATGAGCCACCACTCCCAGCTAAGAATTAATCTTTCTTAAGCCTGTAAAAATTTTCTTCTACTCTTTCTTTGATTATTTCCTCTGCTTCACCACTTCTATTCTCTGCTTTAGAATCTTGGACTAACATTCACCTGACTGAACAATAATTCTGATTGGATGGCTTCCATTTTGATCAGTCTGTGCCTATGTCATACACGTAGGTAAATATTTTGAACGTTACTTCCAACTGGATTTATGCTTTGGGTCCTTAAACACTTTTGCTCTCATGTTTTCCATTCCTGTGCTATGTTTCTATAATGGATTGAATTGTTGACCCCAAAAGACAAGTCTATCCAGAACCTCTGAGTGACCTTATCTGGAATAGGGCCTTTGAAGGTATAATTAAGGTAAAGATCTTGAGATGAGACCCTTGTGAATTAGGTATGAGTGTCTCTATGCTGGGCAAAGGGAAGCTGACATGGTTACTCAGACTGCCATCTTGAACTAGAAGTCCGTATCTACTGTTTCATGTTGTATTATTTTAACTTCTCTAATAAATTATAAATTCCTGAAGAATAGGGATTTCTTTCTTCACTTATGTCTCCTATAGAAATTAGCATAAATGCACATTTAAAAATTAATCAAATGAATGAATTCATAAGTTAGTAAGTACATGAGTGAGTGAAAGAAAGCCAGTAAAACAAAGTTAAAAGCTAAACTGCCAAAGTGAAGGAAAAATCTAATACTTTTGCTGTTTGAAAAGCGGCAGAAGTGAATTGTAACTTAACACATATGTGAGTAAAAAGCATTAATCTTCAGCTTTCAATTAACATGCCTCTTAATGCAAAATTTCATTTCACTGGATCAGATAACTCACATTCTCTTCCTAATTGCCAGGATATTCAATATTTATCATTTTAGATCTAGTCATCTTCAAGAAACATTTTTATTAGATTTTTGTAAATGTGTAGATTACTAACTATGCAAAGAGATGTGGATCCATTTGTACTTGGCAAATGCATTTCTGCTTGTTAAATTCACTGAGTTTTTGTGCTTGAAAATCAATACTAGAACAAGTTGAATGGAATAATCTGTGGGGGGCTCTATAATCTTAGTATCTTAATTTCAAAATTGGACATTTTCCAAATTGAGAAAGCCTTTTAAAAAGCGACTCAAAGTCAATTTATTCCATTCCTATACAACTTATAACCCTACAAGTCAGTAGTGGAAAAGAGGAGAGGATCAGCTTTATTAAGTGGAGACATTTAAGCTGGTCTTAGAGAATAAGAGGGAATCCACCAGGTAGAAGAAAGGACAAAGGGCATTCTAGGCAGAGGAAGCAAAGAAGCATCCAACAAATTAAGATTAAAAGGGAGCATCCTCAACATGGTAAAGGGCATCCAAAAAAACTCATAGCTACCCAGCATCATACTTAATGGTGAAGGATGAATACTTCCCCCTGACCCTAAGATCAGGAACAAGCAAGGATGTTTGCTCTCTTCACATCTATTCAACACTGCACTAGAGATTCTTGCCAGGACAATTACCAAGAGAATAATATGAAAGTCATCCAGATTGGAAAGGAAGAAATAAAGTTATCTCTACTTGCAAATGACATGGTCTTGAATATAGAAAACCCTAAGGAATCCACTACAAAACTACTAAAACTAATAAACAAGTTCTACAAGATTGCAGGACAAGATTAATATATAAATTAATTTCTATTTGTAACCAATAAGGAAATTTAAAACAAACGAAAAAAATAATTCATTTACAATAGCTTGAAAAACAATAAAATACTCGTAAATAAATTTTTAAAAATAAGCAAAATTTATACTCTGAAAACTATATAACATTTTGAAAGAAATTATGAAGATAAATAGAAAGACATCCCATATTCATGGATCAGAGGATTTAATATCATTAAGATGGCAATGCTCCCCAGATTTAACACTCTATCAGAATCCCAGTTAGCTTCTTTGTAAAAATGCACAAGCTATTCCTAAAATTCATATGGAAATTCAAAGGAACCAGAATAGCCAAAACAATTTTGAGAAAGAACAAAATTGAAGTACTCACACTTCATAATTTATTAATAAAAACTTGCTACAATGCTAAGTAAACAAGATAATGTAGTATTGTCATGAGAACAGAAATACAGATAAATGGAATAGAACTGAGAGTCCATGAGTAAAGCCTAACACTTATGGTCAATTAATTTTTGACAAAGGTGCCAAGAAAATAAAATGGGGAAAAAATAGTCTTTCAACATATGGTTGGGACAACTGGGAAAATTGTATATCTTCATAGAAAAAATTAAAGTTGGACTCCTACCACATATTATATAAAAAATTAACTCAAAATACATCAAAGAACTAAAGGTAAAAGCTAAAGCTATAAAACTCTTAGAAGAAAACACAGGTATGATTCTCCAGGAACTTGAATTAGACAATGGTGTCTGACACAAAAAGCACAGCAAGAAAAGAAAAAATAACGGTACTTCATCAAAATTAATGTGAAATAATTTGCGTTTCAAAGGATACCAACAAGAAAGTGAACAGGCACCCCACAGAACAGGAAAAGCTATTTGCAAATCATGTTTGATAAGGGACTTGTATCTAGAATATATAAAGAACTTTTACACACAATACACACAATATTTACACACAATATTTAGCACAATAATAAAAGCTAAATAATGTAAAAACTAATGAGCCAATTTAAAAATGGGCAAAGGATATGAACAGACATTTCTCCAAAGAAGATAAACACATGGCCAATAAGCACATGAAAAGAAGATCAACATCATTATCCATTAGGGAAATGCAAATCAAGACCACAATGAAATAATATTTCACACTCACTAACATAACTACAATCAAGAAAATGGAAAATAACAAGTGTTGACAAGGATGTGGAAAAACTAGGATATTCATACACTGCTGGTGGGAATATAAAATAGTATATCCACTTTGGAAAATAGTCTGGAAGTTCCTTGAAAAGCTAAACATAGAGCTTCCATATGATCTAGCAATTCCACTCCTGGTTATATGCCCAAGAGAAATAAAAACACATGTACAAATGAACACAATTGTTCATAGTAACACTATAATTCATAAAAGTGGCAACAATTCAAATGCTCATAAATCAATGAGTGAATAAATAAAACATGGTATATTCATATAAGGAATATTATTTGGCAATAAAAATTAATGAAGTACTAATACATGTTATAACATAGATGAACCCTGAAAACATCATGCTAAGTCAGACACATAAGATTACATACTGTAATTCCATTTATATTAAATGCTCAGAAAAACAATAGTGACAGAACACAGATTAGTGGTTGCCTAGGGTTCAGGGGACTGGAGGTAATAGAGACTGAATGGTAATGGGTACAGGGTTTCTTTTGGGGGTTATGAGTGAATTGTATAGTATGTGAATTATATCTCAATGAAGCTGTTATAAGAAAAAAAATTAAGAATCTCTGGAGACTGAGAATCATGACATTTTAGAGACAGGACATTTCTATCTCTCATTTTATAGATTTTGTTTGTTTTTTTGAGACGGAGTCTCACTCTGTCACCAGGCTGGAGTGCAGTGGCATGATCTCGGCTCACTACAACTTCCGCCTCTCGGATTCAAGCAATTTTCCTGCCTCAGCCTCCTGAGTAGCTGGGACTTCAGGCGTGTGCCACCACCACACCCAGCCAATTTTTGTATTTTTAGTAGAGACAGGGTTTCACCATGTTGGCCAGGATGGTCTCCATCTCTTGAACTCGTGATCCACCCCCCTCGGCCTCCCAAAGTGCTGGGATTAAAGGCGTGAGCCACCATGCCTGTCCATTTTATAGATATTTTTTAAAGGCACTTGGTTTTGCATTAGGTCACAAAATTTGAAGACTACACTTATAATTTAACATTTATTAAATGTTGATATATATGATTTCAGGAAATTTGTTCATTATAGAAGTCAAATTATATATTTATACCCACTGACATACATATGTCTTTTTATATCCATCCAATAGATCAATGATTTTCAGGGATTTTGTTATTGTTGTTGTTTTTACTAATCCTAACACACTTAAGGGTGTGTCAGGAAAAAATGTTTTGTGAACATGACCAGAATTAAATCATAAATATTGACTATCCTGGCAAGAAAGAAGAGACTATGAGTTATCTAGTCCAGTGAAATGAAGATGACATGTTAATAGAAGAATCTGGCAAGTTCCCATCAAGATATGATCTTAAATATAGAACATCTTTCAATAGAGCAGCAGGGGTGGTGAATAGGGGGCTTATCTCTGGGACAGAGGAGGGACATGAGTGTTTGATAACCTGCAAGTTGAAATATATATATTTTGGAAAAATTTTCTCCCCTCAAATCCTGAAGAACACATATAGGGAGCTGTGTTTACCCCAATCTAGTGAAAATCACTATGCAAACAATATTCAACAGTTTCTGCATACTCTTCAAAATGCTTTTTAAATATCTCTGCTAAATCTGATTAAATTGATCAGAGTTTGGACAAAATGAAGTGGGTCAGAGGAGAGTAAATCTGAATTACACTGATGACCAGAATATGAATAATGAGTGTTATCAGAGTGAGACACATTAATCCAGAGAGGTAAGTGCAAGTTCTCATAAAATTGTCTTGGTAAACACACATAAATACAAAGGCTACAGACTAGCATATCCCCACATCCCAAGAGTTCCTAGCACATAGTAGGTTCTCAATAAATATTTACTGAATACAAGAATAAAAATGTGATTGAGAAAGAGAGAGAAGCTGAAGGAGAAAACAGGAATGAAAGTTTAAAAGATGAAGGAGAGAAATTAACAACGAGGAGACCTAGGGAGAAAGAAGGGACAGAAAGCACAACTGCAGCAGTCACTTTGTAACAAATCCAAAATGAAAAAAAGAATGAGCGGGCGAGAGAGAGAGAGAGAGAGGGAGAGAGAGGGAGAGAGAGGGAGAGAGAGGGAGAGAGAGAGAAAGAGAGGGAGAGAGAGGGAGAGAGAGGGAGAGAGAGAGAAAGAGAGAGCAAGAGAGAGAGTCACTCAGCAAGCAATAACAAGAAACAGATTACCCTGTTGTTGTTGTTGTTGTTTGAGAGGAAGTTTTGCTCCTGTTGCCCAGGCTGGAGTGCAATGGCATGATCTCGGCTCACTGCAACCTCCACCTCCGGGGTTCAAGCAATTCTCCTGCCTCAGCCTCCCTAGTAGCTGGGATTACAGGTGCCTGCAACCATGTCCAGCTAATTTTTTCTATTTTTAGTAGAGGCAGGGTTTCACTATGTTGGCAAGGCTGGTCTTGAACTCCTGATCTCAGGCAATCCACCCACCTCAGCCACCCAAAGAGCTGGGATTACAGGCGTGAGCCACCACACCCAGCCAACTGCCATTTTTTAATTCTGTATTTACCACTTCATCAAAAGTCAATACAGATATTGTAACAGCAACACTGTACAGAAGTATTTTATAGTTTATGAAATATTTTCCCATGTTTTAGCTCATTCCTGACAATCTAAGAGGTAAATATATTATTTTTATTTAGCAGATGAAGAAACTTTGGTTTTGAGGGTTTAAATAACATGAGCAGGAACATACAAGCAGAGGAGCTGGAACTTCAACCAGCCCTCAACCCATGCCTCTATAATGGGTGTTAGGAATCAAGAACCACAGTGTAGGACAAAAAAGAGATACCAAACCTGTTCATCTTCAACCCTTTCAGAAAAAAAAAAAAAAAGTTCTAGAACATATGTATTATCCTTAGTTTTGATGCTATTTCAATGGACTATTCTTGCTTATCTAGAAATCACCTTCTTGAAAGTCACCAATGATCCATTAATCAGCAAAGCCAAAGAACTCTCAATTTTCAATCCACTTTTCTAATCTATACCATCCAACACTATTTACCATTCCTTCCTTCTTTAATCTGTTTCTTCTCATGACCCTGTTCTGTCATCTCTTTGCCTTTCTTCTCCTGCAATTGCTCCACATATCTGTTTCCTTCAAATGTATGAAGACACAACATAAACAGACCTTTATCACTCTTACTTCCACCACAATTCTTGAGCTTGATTTCCCCACAAGAACATCCCACTAATCCCATATAGCATGACCAAAAGGGAATTGTATCATCCCCAATTGTCTTCCAACATTCTTGACTTTGGCTAATAGCATCACTATTCTTCCAGTAACTAAGTCAAAACATTGAGGGGAGAAAGTTTTGCCGCCTCCTCTTGTCCTCTTTTCCTCTTCCCTGGCCAATCAGCCATGAAACACCAGTTACATTACTCAGAAATTCTTTCTTATCAATAGTCTCAACTTAGTCCATGGTCTCTGAACTATTTGTGTTTTCCTAAGAAATATTTCCCTTTGCCTGGCCCCTCTCTTTTCCTCCCTCTCTCCTTCTGTCACACCTACAGTTTTTCTACTGTTAGCAGAGTTATTGCTCTTAAAGATTATTCCTATACTCAAAAACTTTCAGAGAATCCCTATAATCCACAGAATTAAGTCAAGATTCCATAGCACAACTTTCAATGCCATCCATGATCCAGTCTCAATTTACTCTTTTAGTAAAGAGTAATTTCCCCTAAAAGTCTATTTGCCATAAAACTGGATTATTCTATGCTTCTGAATATATCTGGGGTTCACCAGTGGCTAAACTTTAACTCATGTTAGGCCACTTCATCACATACCTGTCCCTGGAATGTTCCCACACCGGTCCCAATTATCTTTCAAGGTTTTGTCTGAACATTAAGAAGCTCTTTTGATTTTGGATCTTTCCTGCTTTCTCTTGTGGGCATTTAGTGCTATAAATTTCCCTCTACACACTGCTATGAATGTGTCCCAGAGATTCTGGTATGTTGTGTCTTTGTTCTTGTTGGTTTCAAAGAACAACTTTATTTCTGCCTTCATTTCGTTATGTACCCAGCAGTCATTGAGGATCAGGTTGTTCAGTTTCCATGTAGTTGAGCGGTTTTGAGTGAGTTTCTTAATCCTGAGTTCTAGTTTGATTGCACTGTGGTCTGAGAGATAGTTTGTTATAATTTCTGTTCTTTTACATTTGCTGAGGAGGAGAGCTTTACTTCCAAGTATGTGGTCAATTTTGGAATAGGTGTGGTGTGGTGCTGAAAAAAATGTATATTCTGTTGATTTGGGGTGGAGAGTTCTGTAGATGTCTATTAGGTCCACTTGGTGCAGAGCTGAGTAAAATTCCTGGGTATCCTTTTAACTTTCTGTCTTGTTCATCTGTCTAATGTTGACAGTGGGGTGTTAAGGTCTCCCATTATTATTGTGTGGGAGTCTAAGTCTCTTTGTAGGTCACTCAGGACTTGCTTTATGAATCTGGGTGCTCCTGTATTGGGTGCATATATATTTAGGATAGTTAGCTCTTCTTGTTGAATTGATCCCTTTACCATTATGTAGTGGCCTTCTTTGTCTCTTTTGATCTTTGTTGGTTTAAAGTCTGTTTTATCAGAGACTAGGATTGCAACCCCTGCCTTTTTTTGTTTTCCATTTGCTTGGTAGATCTTCCTCCATCCTTTTATTTTGAGCCTATGTGTGTCTCTGCATGTGAGATGGGTTTCCTGAATACAGCACACTGATGGGTCTTGACTCTTTATCCAATTTGCCAGTCTGTGTCTTTTAATTGGAGCATTTAGTCCATTTACATTTAAAGTTAATATTGCTATGTGTGAATTTGATCCTGTCATTATGATGTTAGCTGGTTATTTTGCTCGTTAGTTCACGCAGTTTCTTCCTAGTCTCGATGGTCTCTACATTTTGGCATGATTTTGCAGCGGCTGGTACCGGTTGTTCCTTTCCATGTTTAGTGCTTCCTTCAGGAGCTCTTTTAGGGCAGGCCTAGTGGTGACAAAATCTCTCAGCATTTGCTTGTGTGTAAAGGATTTTATTTCTCCTTCACTTATGAAGCTTAGTTTGGCTGGATATGAAATTCTGGGTTGAAAATTCTTTTCTTTAAGAATGTTGAATATTGGCCCCCACTCTCTTCTGGCTTGTAGAGTTTCTGCCGAGAGATCCACTGTTAGTCTGATGGGCTTCCCTTTGTGGGTAACCCGACCTTTCTCTCTGGCTGCCCTTAACATTTTTTCCTTCATTTCAACTTTGGTGAATCTGACAATTATGTGTCTTGGAGTTGCTCTTCTCGAGGAGTATCTTTGTGGCACTCTCTGTATTTCCTGAATCTGAATGTTGGCCTGCCTTGCTAGATTGGGGAAGTTCTCCTGGATAATATCCTGCAGAGTGTTTTCCAACTTGGTTCCATTCTCCCTGTCACTTTCAGGTACACCAATCAGACGTAGATTTGGTCTTTTCACATAGTCCCATAATTCTTGGAGGCTTTGTTCGTTTCTTTTTACTCTTTTTTCTCTAAACTTCCCTTCTCGCTTCATTTAATTCATTTCATCTTCCATCACTGATACCCTTTCTTCCAGTTGATCACATCGGCTCCTGAGGCTTCTGCATTCTTCACATAGTTCTCGAGCCTTGGCTTTCAGCTCCATCAGCTCCTTTAAGCACTTCTCTGTATTGGTTATTCTAGTTATACATTCGTCTAAATTCTTTTCAAAGTTTTCAACCTCTTTGCCTTTGGTTTGAATTTCCTCCTGTAGCTCAGAGTAGTTTGATCATCTGAAGCCTTCTTCACTCAACTTGTCAAAGTCATTCTCCGTCCAGCTTTGTCCCATTGCTGGTGAGGAACTGCGTTCCTTTGGAGGAGGAGAGGTGCTCTGCTTTTTAGAGTTTCCAGTTTTTTCTGCTCTGTTTTTCCCCATCTTTGTGGTTTTATCTACTTTTGGTCTTTGATGATGGTGATGTACAGATGGATTTTTGGTGTGGATGTCCTTTCTGTTTGTTAGTTTTCCTTCTGACAGACAGGACCCTCAGCTGCAGGTCTGTTGGAGTTTGCTAGAGGTTAATATCACAATTAAAAGAACTAGAAAAGCAAGAGCAAACACATTCAAAAGCTAGCAGAAGGCAAGAAATAACCAAAATCAGAGGAGAACTGAAGGAGATAGAGACACAAAAAACCCTTCAAAAAATTAATGAATCCAGGAGTTGGTTTTTTGAAAGGATCAACAAAATTGACAGACTGCTAGCAAGACTAATAAAGAATAAAAGAGAGAAAAATCAAATAGACGCAATAAAAGATGATAAAGGGGACATCACCACCAATCCCACAGAAACACAAACTACCATCAGCGAATACTACAAACACCTGTATGCAAATAAACTAGAAAATCTAGAATGGATAAATTCCTCCACACATACCCTCTCCCAAGACTAAACCAGGAGGAAATTGAATCTCTGAATAGACCAATAACAGGATCTGAAATTGTGGCAATAATCAACAGCTTACCAACCAAAAAGAGTCCAGGACCAGATGGATTCACAGCCGAATTCTACCAGAGGTACAAGGAGGAACTGGTACCATTCCTTCTGAAACTATTCCAATCAATAGAAAAAGAGGGAATCCTCCCTAACTCATTTTATGAGGCCAGCATCATACTGATACCAAAGCCGCGCACAGACACAACCAAAAAAGAGAATTTTAGACCAATATCCTTGATGAACATTGATGCAAAAATCCTCAATAAAATACTGGCAAACCGAATCCAGCAGCACATCAAAAAGCTTATCCACCATGATCAAGTGGGCTTCATCCCTGGGATGCAAGGCTGGTTCAATATACACAAATCAATAAATGTAATCCAGCATATAAACAGAACCAAAGACAAAAACCACATGATTATCTCAATAGATGCAGAAAAGGCCTTTGAAAAAATTCAACAACCCTTCATGTTAAAAACTCTCAATAAATTAGGTATTCACGGGACGTATCTCAAAATAATAAGAGCTATCTATGACAAACCCACAGCCAATATCATACTGAATGGGCAAAAACTGGAAGCATTCCCTTTGAAAACCGGCACAAGACAGGGATGCCCTCTCTCACCACTCCTATTCAACATAGTGTTGGAAATTCTGGTCAGGTCAATTAGGCAGGAGAAGGAAATAAAGGGTATTCAGTTAGGAAAAGAGGAAGTCAAATTGTCCCTGTTTGCAGATGACATGATTGTATATCTAGAAAACCCCATTGTCTCAGCCCAAAATCTCCTTAAGCTGATAAGCAACTTCAGCAAAGTCTCAGGATACAAAATCAGTGCACAAAATCACAAGCATTGTTATACACCAGTAACAGACAAACAGAGAGCCAAATCATGAGTGAACTCCCATTCACAATTGCTTCAAAGAGAATAAAATACCTAGGAATCCAACTTACAAAGGACGTGAAAGACCTCTTCAAGGAGAACTACAAACCACTGCTCAATGAAATAGAAGAGGATACAAACAAATGGAAGAACATTCCATGCTCATGGGTAGGAAGAATCAATATCGTGAAAATGGCCATACTGCCCAAGGTAAGTTGTAGATTCAATGCCATCCCCATCAAGCTACCAATGACTTTCTTCACAGAATTGGAAAAAACTACTTGAAAGTTCATATGGAAACAAAAAAGAGCCTGCATCGCCAAGTCAATCCTAAGCCAAAAGAACAAAGCTGGAGGCATCACACTACCTGACTTCAAACTATACTACAAGGCTACAGTAACCAAAACAGCATGGTACTGGTACCAAAACAGAGATATAGATCAATGGAACAGAACAGAGCCCTCAGAAATAATGCCACATATCTACAACTATCTGATCTTTGACAAACCTGAGAAAAACAAGCAATGGGGAAAGGATTCCCTATTTAATAAATGGTGCTGGGAAAATGGGCTAGCCATATGTAGAAAGCTGAAACTGGATCCCTTCCTTACACCTTATACAAAAATTACTTCAAGGTGGATTAAAGACTTAAACGTTAGACCTAAAATCATAAAAACCCTAGAAGAAAACCTAGGCATTACCATTCAGGACATAGGCATGGGCAAGGACTTCATGTCTAAAACACCAAAAGCAATGGCAACAAAAGCCAAAATTGACAAATGGGATCTAATTAAACTAAAGAGCTTCTGCACAGCAAAAGAAACCACCATCAGAGTGAACAGGCAACCTACAGAATGGGAGAAAATTTTGGCAACCTACTCATTTGACAAAGGGCTAATATCCAGAATCTACAAAGAACTCAAACAAATTTACAAGAAAAAAACAAACAACCCCATCTACAAGTAGGTGAAGGATATGAACAGACACTTCTCAAAAGAAGACATTTATGCAGCCAAAAGACACATGAAAAAATGCTCATCATCTCTGGCCATCAGAGAAATGCAAATCAAAACCACAATGAGATACCATCTCACACCAGTTAGAATGGCAATCATTAAAAAGTCAGGAAACAACAGGTGCTGGAGAGGATGTGGAGAAATAGGAACACTTTTACACTGTTGGTGGGACTTTAAACTAGTTCAACCATTGTGGAAGTCAGTGTGGCGATTCCTCAGGGATCTAGAACTACAAATACCATTTGACCCAGCCATCCCATTACTGGGTATATACCCAAAGGATTATAAATCATGCTGCTATAAAGACACATGCACACGTATGTTTATTGCAGCACTATTCACAATAGCAAAGACTTGGAACCAACCCAAATGTCCAACAATGATAGACTGGATTAAGAAAACGTGGCACGTACACACCATGGAATACTATGCAGCCATAAAAAATGATGAGTTCATGTCCTTTGTAGGGACATGGATGAAATCGGAAATCATCATTCTCAGTAAACTATCGCAAGGACAAAAAACCAAACACCGCATGTTCTCACTCATAGATGGGAACTGAACAATGAGAACACATGGACACGGGAAGGGGAACATCACATTCTGGGGACTGTTGTGGGGTGGGGGGAGGGGGGGGAGGGATAGCATTAGGAGATATACCTAATGCTAGATGACAAGTTAGTGGGTGCAGTGCACCAGCATGGCACATGTATACATATGTAACTAACCTGCACATTGTGCACATGTACCCTAAAACTTAAAGTATAATAATATTTAAAAAAAAAAGAAGCTCTTTTGAATACTGCCTCTACTCCAAGGACTCAGTCAAAATGAATGCTACGTTTCTTAATCATTCTAATTTATTTTACCTCTCTTACTTGTTTTACCCATACTTATCCTATAGTTAACATATATGGGTATCTCCCCACCAGATTACAATCTGTCATTTTTTTAATTCTGTACAGTTCTTGGCATAGAAATGCTTTGCAAATTCTTACTGAACTTTGGCAACTCCAGCTGAAAAGCATTTGAATTAAAACATAAAAATCACTATACTGACAGGTAACATATGACATTTTACAACATCAGATTGACTTCTGGCAAAAAAAAGAAAATTGGCTTTTTACGTTTATTTCTAGATTAAATGTCTAGTGTAGTAGAAGTTATAAGGAAGTAAGCATATCTTAATAAAAATTCTGAACACTAATTTATAGTTAATAAAGCAAACAATAAAAGTGTTTAATTGCTTTCATTTTTAATCACAGTACAAAAAAGTTGTAGCTATCTTTATTCTACTTGCAGATCCTCATATAATCAGAATGAGTTAGTTATAAATACAGAGGTTTGAAGGGGTATAAAGGAAGATCAGTTATGATGCTCTTTATAAAATTCCTAGCTTTGACTCTCAGATACAACCAGTATAATGACCTTGAAGCCTGACTTCGTCAACTCCATTTCCCTAAATGACCTACAATTTCTGACTTGTGTGCTAGGGTTGTTTTCTAGACCTGCCACAGACCCTACAAATATGAATTCAAATTCTATTTTTGCCACTTTGATGCTACAAAAACACTAAGCATTTTTTTAAAATAAAATGAGATCAGAAAAAAAATAGTTTGCCAAACTAACTTCCTTTTGTCAAGAAAGCACAAGAAAGTTTTGTAACAGTGCATAAAAATAAAAGAGCACTAAATGTCAAATAAGAACATCCTGTTCTATAATGCTTGACTTTCAAATGTAATAAATTTAGCTTTACCAACCTAAAGGGGGGAAAGGCTAATCATAAGCACTAATTGCCCTTAATTTGAGGCCTTTTGTAAAAATCAAAACCCTCTGCTATATCAAAAAATATTTAAAAGTATCACCTTATAAAATAAAAAAATTATTTAAGTGTGTTAATTTCCTCATCAGTAAATATACATTTATGAATATCAAGACATCAGTGACATAAATTCCATAAATTTTTTTGAGTCAGTGACCATTTGTATTATATTTACTCATAACTCACAACCAGAGGGAGGGGAAATTTGCTCTCCAAAGAAGCAATTCAAGTTAAGGTATTTATTGTAAATTTCACAGCAATTCCCTTTGAATTACATAGAGTTAATTCGTTTGTGATTATCTTTAGTTTTAGTATTTTTGGCACAGAAATAATGTTATTCATCTATCTGTCTACTTTCCAAATAACATACGATCCATAAAATAACAAACCACATTGTTATACAATAATTTTCTCTATGTGTAATAAATGTTAAGGCTTTGTGTGGAATACTAATCTTATTTTCTTATTCAAAAAAATCCAAGCATATTTAACCTTATCATTCATCAATTTATCTCAATACTAAATAAACAACTAGAATATCTGTTCTCTAATATAAAAGTAAATTTTATTGGGTGTTTAATTAATCTCTCAACAAAGCACATTAATTTTTCTAGGATTATTTCAGAACAATAAATAAAACTAAAGAAAATAAAAACCACAAACCAGAGTGTAAATAATGAGCTAACACTGGGAATATTTCATTTTATATTACTTCTAGAGGAAATAATTATCACACAGTAATTTATGCCTAGTAAGTTACATTTTAATTTTAATAAAAAACCTAGAACTCTCCAATAAAATTCTTTCAAGTTCTAAAAGCACATCATAAAACAAATTGAGTACTTCAATATACCAGATGTATCCAAGAGAAACAATTTGTAATACTATAGAGGCAAAAGTTGATCCCTCTCAAGAAAAGATAACAATCTCCTCTTCTCAAAGCAAATAGACTGAATTGATAACTAACTCCTATAGTCAAATAATGTATTCGTACTATAAGCAAAGGAATACCACATATATCTTTTGGTGAAAAGTTGACATAAAAGTAATTATCAACAGTCCAGCACTCTAGAATGCAGAAAACAAATTGGATTCGTGTAGGACATGCTGGAACTACAGCCCCTGAGAACCACTTGTAATACATAATTGATGATTCTTGTAACGCTCCCAATTTTGATATTTGCTAGTGTGGATTAGTGAAATAATTCTTCAAGTAATCACGTTTTTAGAAACTCATTCGATCTCTGCCTGTCTTTTGAAAAAATACTTGGAAAATAAATGATCAATTCAATATAAATTATAAAAAATGTATGTGCCTAGCCACAGCAAATGACAACTTCTCCATGTGTTATTTCTAAGTCCTTCTAGTGGATATTCTTTTTCTGAACCCACAATCACCATAGCTGGTTTTCACTGACATGCTGGGAGTTCACACTAATTAGACCATTTTCCCAGGCAGACTCATATAATCTTCTCAGGACTGTGGAGTGAATTGGTCAGGAGTTGGATATGATTGCCTAAAGCAGAGCCTGGGATAACAATGATTCTTCATTATTATTTAGTAAAACAAGCAGAAGAGAGCAGGAGGAGGGGAGAACGAAGGGGTTATATGAGAAAGGAGGATTTCTCTTGTCCCTTCAACTCCCATCTCATCAATACATCTCATGCCCCTACACATTCCCATCTTGCTGAACTGTGACCTCCAAACGTTCTTTGCCTAACCCAAGGGTAGCTCTAGATACTTCTATCACCCAGTCTCGATCCCTCTTCTCCCCAGAATAAAGCTCCACTAATATTTTAAGGGGTAAGATACTGGAGGTTTGTACCACTCACCCTATACCTTATCCACCTCACCTTGCCAAGGGTCACTGATTCAGACAGAGGTGTGGATCAGCACAGGGAATATTCAAACCCACTGAAGGAAAACACTGTCAACTCACAGAGTTCCATACAAGTCTTTTCCTTCTAAATATCCTTATTCCTATTATAGAGAGGACTTTTTAATGATACAAAACCAAACAAAACAAAATTATATGACCCTAATGATGGCATTTCTTTTGACACTGATTGAGGTCTCTCTACCTTTATTCTTCATCTCAGGCAAGTGCTTGCCCTGAGCTGCGGTGTCAACACCTTCTCTTATAATCAGTGTTTACTTTGCAGCATCCCTGGATCCACTCTGATGAACTATCTAAGGTCGAGTTGGGCTTATGAGGTAATTTTCATCAAATAAATCAAGGAGGTGATTATGCTATCTGTGGTAAACCTGAAAGGTTCATAAGAACAAGGAAGTTGTCACATAATCAGAGTTTTGGGGCCTTTTCACCAAACACATTTCTGATGGACCCCTATAGAACATTCAGATTTTCCTGATAAAAATATAGAAAATCCACTTATATCCTTCCTATCCTAATTATGTTATTAGAGGTTCCATGATTGGAAAAATTGTGATGAGTAATGGGACTAACAAGTACATAAAAGCAGTTTAAGATAATTTGTACTAACTTCAGAGATAATACAGACTTTTATTTTTAAAAAAATATTTTACTATCAGTCCTACAAATGTTCTATTTTGAAACATGAGTAATAATTCAAGAATAAGACAGTTGGAATGTGGTTGCACTGATTTTATATTGCCATTTAAAGAGATACAACATGTCAATAGTGTCTCCCTCATTTAATGTAATCTTATTCCTCCCAATGAGATATTATAGGTATATTATTCAAATACATTTCTCTTTTTGTTAGGTCTGATAGCAAGAAACAGAAATCCATACAAACTAGTTTAAGGAAAGAAAATTTACTGAAAGGACACTACAGATTTTCATGGGAAGAAGGGTGAAGTCAAGCCAAACCTCCGAGAACAGGAAACTTTGATGTCTCTAGAGTGATGCCTTCCCATTTGCTCCTCCCTGCACCTTTCTCCATGCAAAACAGCTTCCTCTGTTCCAGGATTATGGCCTCCCTTGCCCCTCATCACTTTGGTCTGCCTATAGCTTTAGCTGTCGGAGACTCCATTTTCACCTGACCTGATCCTTTTGTTCCTGACAACTAAATTAGTAAGACCCTCAGAAACCATCAGCTTAAATTCTCAAGAGAACGTATATTTGGCTCAGATCATCAGCTATGAATGTGCTTTCCTTTGTCTGGGAAAAAAGACATTTCTGGAGAAACCAACGTGTCAGCTTAGGCCTGACCTTTCAGCTAACACTAAGGGGTAGTGCCATTCCAAGAGTGTTGCTGAGTGGGGGAAATTCCATTGAATTTGACTCTGCAAATACATGAGTACTTCCCCTATTCCAGGACGGCGATAAATCACCTAAAAACTTAGAAAATTCTAGGATGGCCTCGAACGAGATGGGCTATTTCTACTCTTTTTCAGACTTTAAGGATTAGAGTTTTCCTCAGACTTAATTTAGATTGTTTCAGGTGTCTCCGTGGTGCTATAATGACAACCAAATCTGGGTATTTGACATAGCTAACTCCATTCACCCTACTTTTTTATAAAAAAATTCTTTTTTGTATAGATCTTTTTCATTTGACCCTAGAATTTTTGGACAGCTACTGGGTCTGATATTTATTCTAAATTTTAAATAAGACATTTACATTTTGGACTGCTGAGAATATAACAAGGTCACATATAGCAGAGCTTTGGTGTATATGAAAACAATGGAACAAACCATTAGCTAAGGATGCAGTGGAGGGATCTACGAGTCATTTGGGTACAAGATGGCAAGAGCTAGAACAGGGATGCTGGAGTAGAAATAGGAGGAAGGCAGACAGTCATTCCCCTGCTTCTCCTTTGCCATCTGTACCTTCAGTCATTGTCTGCTGGTTCTGCTCTACTTTATTATTTTATTGTTAATTTTTGTGGGTAGATAGTGGTGTCTATATTTACAGGTTACATGAAATATTTTGATACAGGCATGCAATGAATAATAGTCACATCAGGGTAAACAGGATGTCCATCACCTCAAGCATTTATCCTTTGTGTTACAAGCAATCCAATTATACTCTTTTAGTTATTTTTTAATGTACACAAATTATTTTACCACAGTCACCCTGTTGTGCTAGCAAATACTAGGTCTTATTCATTCTTTCTAACCATTAACCATCCCCACTTCTGCCCTGCACACTCGCCAACTACCCTTCCCAGCCCCTGGTATCCAGCCTTCTACTCCCCATGAGTTCAATCATTTTCATTTTTAGCTCCCACAAATAAGTGAGAAGATATGAAGTTTGTTCTTTTGTGCCCAGCTTATTTCATTTAACATAATGACCTTCAGTTCCAGACAAATGATGAGATCTTATTCTTTTTCATGGCTGATTAGTACTCCATTCTGTATATGTACCACATTTTCTTTATCCATTCATCTGTTGATGGACACTTAAGATTGCTTCCCAATCTTCGCTATTTTGAACAGTGCTGCAATTAACATGGAAGTGCAGATATCTCTTCAATATAATGCTTTCCTTTTTGCGAGGGGACATACCCAGCAGTGGGATTGCTGGAGCATATGGTAGCTCTATTTTTACTTTTATGAGGAGCCGCCAAACTGTTCTCCATAGTGGTTTTACTAATTTACACTCCCAACAACAGCGTACCAGAATTCCCTTTTCTCCACAACCTCGCCAGCATTTGTGATTGCCTGACTTTGGGATAAAAGCCACTCTAACTGGCATGAGATGGTATCTCACTGTAGTTTTGATTTGCATTTCTATGATGATCAATGATGTTGAGCACCTGTTTTCCATCTGCATGTCTTCTTTTGAGAAATGTCTATTGAGATTTTTGTCTATTTTTAATTCAGATTATAACATTCTTTTTCCTATAGAGTAGTTTGAGCTCCTTATATATTCTGGTTATTAATTACTTGCCAGAGGGATAGTTTGCAAATATTTTTTCCCATTCTGTTGGATGTCTCTTCACTTTGTTGATTGTTTTCTTTGCTGTTCAGAAGCTTTTTAACTTTATGTAATCCCATTTGTCCATTTTTGCTTTGGTTGCCTGTGTTTGTGAGGTATTACTTAAGAAATCTTTACTTGGTCCAATGTCCTAGAAAGTTTCCCCGATGTTCTCTTTTAGTAGTTTCATAGTTTGAGGTTTTAGACTTAAGTCTTTAATCCATTTTGGTTTGATTTTTGTATATGGTGAGAGATAGGGTCTAATTTCATTCTCTTTCATATGGATATCCAGTTTTCCCAGCACTGTTTATTGAAGAGGTGGTCCTTTTCCCAATGTATGTTCCTGGCACGTCTGTCAAAAATAAGTTCACTGTATATGTATGGATTTATCTCTGGGTTATCTATTCTGTTCCACTGATTTATGTGTTTGTTTTTATGCCAGTACCATGCCATTTTGGTTACTATAGCTTTGTAGTATAATTTAAAGTCAGGTAATGTGATTCCTCCAGTTTTGTTCTTTTTGCTTAGGATAGCTTTGGCTACCAGGATATTTTGTGGTTTTATATAAATTTTAGAATTGTTTTTTCTATTTCTGTGAATAAGAAATAGATTGGTAGATCCAAATCATTGGTATTTGGATAGGGATTGCATTAAACTTGTCTGTTGCTTTAGGTAATATGGACATTTTAGCAATATTAATTCTTCAATCCATGAACATGGAGTATCTTTCCAGTTTTTGTGTGTCCTCTTCAATTTCTTATCAATATATTTTAGTTTTCATTATAGAGATCTTTCACGTCTTTCGTTAAATCCTAATAGATTTTATTTTATTTGTAACTACTGTAAACAAGATTACTTTCTTGATTTCCTTTTCAGATTGTTCACTGTTGGCACATGGAAATGCTACTGATTTTTGTATGTCGATTTTGTATTTTACAACTTTGCTGAATTTGCTTATCTGTTCTAGTAGTTTTTTTGGTGAGTCTTTAGGTTTTTTGAAATATAAGATCACATCATCTGCAAACAAGGATAATTTGATTTCTTCCTTTCCAGTTTGGATGGCCTTTATTTCTTTCTCGTCTGATTTCTCTAGCTAAGACTTCCAGTACTATGTTGAATAACGGTGGTGAAAGTGGGTATCCTTGTCATGTTCAAGATCTTAGAGGAAAGGCTTTCAGCTTTTCCCCATTCAATATGATGCCAGCTATGGGTCTGTCATATATGTCTTTGATTGTGTTGAGGTATGTTCCTTCTATACCCAGTTACTTTTTGGGGATTTTATCATGAAGGGATGTTGAGTTTTATCAAATGCTTTTTCAGCATTCATTGAAATGATCATATGGTTTTTGTTCTTCATTCTGTTGTTTTGATTTATCACATTGACTGATTTGTGAATGTAGAACCATCCTCACATCCCTGGGATAAATCTCACTTGGTCATGATGAATGATCTTTTTAATGTATTGTTGAATTCAGTTTGCTAATATTTTCTTGAAGATTTTTATGTCAATTTTCATCAAATATATTGGCCTGTAGTGATTTTTTATGTGCCTTTGTCTGATTTTGGTATCAGGTAATACTGGCCTCATATAATGAGTTTGGATGTATTCCCTCCTCTTCCTTTTTCAAAATAGCTTGAATAAGATTGGTATTAGTTCTTCTTTAAATATTTGGTAGATTCACTATACATCTGACAAAGGACTAATATCTAGAATCTACAATGAACTCAAATTATCAAGAAAAAGCAAACAATCGCATCAAAAAGTGGGCTAAGAACATGAATTGACAATTCTTAAGAGAAGATATACAAATGAGCCACAAATATATAAAAAATGCTCAACATCACTAATGATTAGAGAAATGCAAATCAAAACCACAATGCAATACCACTTTACTCTTACAAGAATGGCCATAATCAAAAAATTAAAAAAATAAAAGATGTTGGCGTGAATGCGGTGAACAGTTACACTACTGGTGGGAATGTAAACTAGTACAGCCACTGTGGAAAAGTATGGAGATTCCTTAAAGAACTAAAAGTAGAACTACCATTTGATCCAGCAGTCCCACTACTAGGTGTCTACCCAGAGGAAAAGAAGTAATTATACGAAAAAGATACTTGCACATGCATGTTTATAGCACCGCAATTCTCAATTGCAAAAAATGTGGAACCAATCAAAAGCCCATCATTTAATGAGTGGATAAAGAAAATTAAATATATATATATTAGATAAAATATATATTTTATATACATATAAATAATGGAATACTACTCATCCATAGAAAGGAATGAATTAATGGCATTCACAGCAACCTGGGTGAGACTGGAGACTATTATTCTAAGTGAAGTAACTCAGGAATGGAAAACCAAACATCATATGTTCTCACTTATATGTGGGAGCTAAGCTATGAGGATGCAAAGGCATAAGAATGATGCAATGGACTTTGGGGACTCAGGAGGAAAGGGTGGAAAGGGGTGAGGGATAAAAGACTACAAATTGAGTGCAGTGTAAAAGAAGTAATTATACGAAAAAGATACCTACACATGCATGTTTATAGCATCACAATTCTCAATTGCAAAAATGTGGAACCAATCAAAAGCCCATCATTTAATGAGTGGATAAAGAAAATGATATATATATAAAATATATATGAAATATTATATATAAAAATATTATGTAATATATAAAACATTATATATATATAATGGAATACTACTCATCCATAGAAAGGAATGACTTAATGGCATTCACAGCAACCTGGATGAGACTTGCACACTTGGTATTTGGATAGGGATTGCATTAAACTTGTCTATTGCTTTAAGTAATATGGACATTTTAGCAATATTAATTCTTCAATCAACTTCAATACTGCTCGAGTGATGGGTGCACCAAAATCTCACAAATCACCACTAAACAACTTACTCATGGAACCAATCACCACCTGTTCCCCAATAACCTATGGAAATAAAAAAATTTAAATATATATTTGGTAGATTCAGCAGTGAAGCCTTCAGGTCCTGGGCTTATTGTTGATGGCAGCCTTTTTATTACAGCTTTGATCTCACTACTTGTTATTGGTCTGTTCATATTTTGGATTTCTTCATGGTTCAATCTTGGAAGGTTGTATGTATCTAGAAATTCACTCATTTCTTCTAGATTTTCCAATTTACTGGCATATAGTTGCTCACAGTAGCCACTAATGATCCTTTCAATTTCTGCAGTATCAGTTGTAATGTCTGCTTCTTCAACTCTAATTTTATCTGTTTGGATCTTCTCTCTTTTTTCTTACTAGTCTGGCTAAAGTTTTACAAATTGTTTTCATCTTTTTAAAAAACCAACTTTTATTTTATTGATCTTTTGTATTAATTTCTTCATTTCAAATTCATTTATTTCTGCTTTGATTTTCATTATTTCTTTTTTTCTACTAATTTTGGGTTCAATTTCCGCTTGCTTTTCTAATTCCTTAAAATGCATCTTTAGGTTATTTATTTGAAGTTTTTCTTCTTTTTTGATGTAGACACTTAGAGCTATCAGCTACCCTCTCTGCATTGTTTTCACTGTGTCCCACAGGTTTTGGTATGTTGTGTTTCTATTATCATTTGTTTAAAGAAATTTTTCAATTTCCTCCTTAATTTCTTCATTGACCCACTGGTCATTCGGGGCATATTGTTTAATTTCCATGTGTTTGTATAGTTTCCAAAATTACTCTTGTTATTGATTTCTAGTTTATTCCATTGTGGTCAGAGAACATGCTTGATACTATTTCAAGTTTTTGAATGCTCTAAGACTTGTTTTGTGACCTAACATACCGATCCATCCTTGAGAACGATCCATGTACTGAAGAAAAGAATGTGTTTTCTGTAGCTGTTGGATGAAATGTTCTGTAAATATCTATTAGATCCATTTGATCTATAGTGCAGATTAAGTCCAATGTTTCTTGGTTGATTTTCTCTCTAGAAAATCTGTCCAATGCTGAAAGTGTGGTGTTGAAGTCTCCAGCTATTATTTTATTGGAATCGATCTTTCTCTTTAGCTCTAATAATATTTGCTTTATATATCTGGGTGCCCCAGTGTTGGATGCATATATATTTACAATAATCATATCCTCCTGCTGAATTGACCCCTTTATCATTATACAGTGACCTTACTTTGTCTCTTCTCAATGTTTTGTCTTGAATTCTATTTTTTCTGATCTAAGTATTGCAAATCCTGCTCTTTTTTAGTTTCCATTGGCATGGAATGTCTTTTTCCATCCCCTTACTTTCAATCTATATTTATCTTTATAAGTAAAGTGCATTTATTGCAGGCAACAGATCACTGGGTCTTGGTTTTTTTAATCCATTCAGCCATTCTATGTCTTTTGATTGGAGAGTTTTGTCCATTTGCATTAATGTTATTATTGATAAATAAAGACTTACTCCTTCCATTTTGTTATTTGTTTTCTGGTTGTTTTGCGGTCTTCTCTTCCTTTTTTCTTTTCTTCCTGTCCTCTCTCTAGTGAAGGTGATTTTCTCTGGTAATATGGTTTAATTTCTTGCTTCTTATGTTTTGCATATCTATTGTATTTTTTTATTTGAGGTTAGCATAAGGCTTGCAAATACTATCTTATAATCCATCATTTTAAGTTGATAACAACCTAATACTGTTTACATAAAAAAGTAAAAAGAAAACTGATAAAAGCTCTACACCTTAACTTCATCCCTCCACTTTTATTTATTTATTTATTTATTTGAGACAGTCTTGCTCTGCCGGCCAGGCTGAAGTACAGTGGCGTGATGTTGACTCACTGCAACCTCCGTCTCCCAGGATCAAGCAATTCT
Source organism: Homo sapiens (assembly GCF_000001405.40). Lineage (NCBI taxonomy): Eukaryota > Metazoa > Chordata > Mammalia > Primates > Hominidae > Homo > Homo sapiens. The sequence goes on along the minus strand of NW_003315918.1, from coordinate 45,327 downwards.
CCTGTCTCAACCTCCCAAGTAGCTGGGATTACAGGCTTGTGCCACCACGCCTGGCTAGTTTTTGTATTTTTAGTAGAGACGGGTTTCACCATTTTGGCCAGGCTGGTCTCGAATTCCTGACCTCAGGTAATCTGCCCATCTTGGCCTCCCAAAGTGCTGTATCCCTCCACTTTTTATCTTGTTGTTTCTATTTATATCTTATTGTATTGACTGTGTCTTGAAAAACTGTTGTAGTTATTTTTTATTGGTTCATTTAGTCTTTCTTCTTGGGATAGAAGTAGATTACACACCACAGTTATAGTGTTATAATATTCTGTGTTTTTCTATATACTTACCATTACCAGTAAGTTTTACACCTTCAGATGACTTCTTATTGCTCATTAACATCCTTTTTTTTAAAAAACTGAAGTACTCCCTTTAGCATTTCTTGTAGGATAAGTCTGGTGATGATGAAATCCTTCAGCCTTTGTCTGGGACAGTCCTCATTTCTCCTTTGTGTTTGAAGGATATTTTTCAGATATACTACTAAGGTAAAAGGTGTTTTTTCCTTCAGTACTTTAAATATGCCATGCCACTCTCTCCTGGCCTGTAAGATTTCCACTGAAAAGTCTGCTGCCAGATGGACTGGTGCTCTATGGTATGTTATTTGTTTGTTTGTTTTTTCTCTTGCCGCTTTTAGGATCCTTTATTTATCCTTGACTTTGGGGAGTTTGGTCATTAAATGCCTTGAGGTAGGCTTCTTTGAGTTAAATCTGTTTGGTGTTCTATAACCTTCTTGTACTTGGATATTGATATCTTTCTTGAGGCTTGGGAAGTTTCTCTGTTATTATCCTTTTCAATAAACTTTCTACCTCTATCGCTTTCTCTACCTCCTCTTTAATGCCTTATCTCTTAGATTTGCCCTTCCGAGACTATTTTCTACATCCTGTAGAAAATATGCTTTGTTGTTTTTTATTATTTTTTCTTTTGTCTCCTCTGTGTATTTTCAAATAGCTTGTCTGCAAGCTCACTTATTCCTTCTTCCGTTTGATCAATTTTGTCATTAAAAGACTCTGATGCACTCTTTGGTATGTCGATTGCATTTCAACTCCGGAATTTCTGCTTGATTTTTTCTAATCATGTCAATCTCTTTGTTCAGTTTATCCAACAGCATTCTGAATTCCTTCTCTGTATTGTCTTGAAATTCTTTGAGTTCCTCAAAACACCTATTTTGAATTCTTTGTCTGAAAGGTTACATATCTCTGTTTCCCCAGGATTGGTCTCTAGTGCCTTATTCAGTTCCTTTGGTGAGGTCATGTTTTCCTGGCTGGTCTCAATGCTGTGGATGTTCATCAGTGTCTGGGCATTGAAGAATTAGATATTTATTTTAGTCTCCACAGTCTGGGCTTGTTTGTAGCCCTCTTTCTTGGGAAGGCTTTCCAGTATTTGAAGGGACTTGAGTGTTGTGATCTAAGCCTTATCTGCATTATGGGGCACCCCAAGTCCAGTAATACTGTGGTTCTTACAAACTCAAAGAGGTACCACCTTGGTGGTCTTGGGTAAGATCCAGAAGAATTCTCTGGATTACCAACAGATACTCTTGTTCTTGTCCCTTTCTTTCTCCCAAACAAATGGAGTCTGTCTCTGTTCTGAGATATCTAGAGCTAGAGGTTGGGTGACACAAGTACCCCTGTGGCCACGACTGGGGCTATGCTGGGTCAGACCTGAAGCCAGCATAGCACTGGGTCTCACTCAAGGCCAGTGATCACCGCTGACTACTGCCTATGTTTGCTCAAGGACTTGGGGCTCTACAATCAGCACATGGCAAAGCCAGCCAGGTTTGTGTCCTTCCCTTCAGGGTGGCAAGTTCCCCTAATCTCCAGGCAAGTCCACAGATGCCATCCAGGAGCCAGAGACTGGAGTTTAAAACCTTAGAAGTGTACTCAGTGTTCTACTGTACTGTGGCTGAGCTGGCACTCAAACCACAAAACACAGTCCTTCCCACTCTTCCCTCCCTTTTCCAAAGGCAGAGGGGCCTCATCCCATTGCCACCACTACAGACCCATGGGGAGTACTGCTAGGCTACCACTGATGTTCACTTAAAGGCCAAGCGCTCTTCAGTCAGCTTGTGGTGAATGCTCCCTGCCCTGGGACTCATCTTCAGGGTAGTGGACTTCCCTCTGGCCCAGGGCAGGTCCAGAAATGCGATCCAAGGCCCAAGGCCTAGAACTGGGGAACCCAAGATCCCACTTGTGCTCTACTCTCATGGCCAAGCTGGTACCCACTGATGTTCACTTAAGGGCCAAGGGCTCTTCAAGATGCAAGCCAAAGTTCCCTTTACTTTTCCCTCTGCTTTTCTCAAGAAGAAGGAGTCTCTCCCCATAGCCACCAGAGCTGGGAATATGCTAAATCTCACCTGAAGCCAGTAAGTCTCAGGGTCTCACCCAAGGCCTGTGGCATATTACCTTGGTATCACTGCTGGTTATTCAGGGATCAAGTGTTCTTTAGTCAGCAGGGTATGAGGCCTGCCAGGACTGGGTCCTTCCTTTCAAGGGAGTGGGTTCCCTTCCAGTCCAGGGTGTGTCTAGAAATATTGTCCAGGAGCGAGGGCCTGAAAGTTGGCCTCCTGACTCTGACAGGTGTCCTTTCCTACTGTGGCTATGCCAGTATCCTAGATGAAAGACAAAGTCCTCTTCAATCTTCTCTCTCCTCACGCGGAAGGAAGGGGTCTCATTTGGAGCTGCGAGCTGTTCAGCCTGGGACTGGGGAGAGGGGTGGGGCAAGCATTCCCTTAGCCTCCCTGGCTGTTGTCTCAGTAGGTCATGTGTCCCCCCAGTCCACTGGTTCTGAGCCCAGTTCAGCACTAGGACCTGCCTAGGAGTTACAGTCCTTGTTGCCTAGACTGCCTTTTAAGTTTATTTAGGGTTTCAGAGGCACTTTATTCTGTGGTGGCAAGGCTTGCCAGAACTCCAGTTCTGACAGCTGGGATGGGTGATTCCCTTCCGGCTAGGGCCAGTTAAAATACTCCTTCCATGAGTAGGGGGTCAACTGAGTTCAGCTGGCTTAGCTTTCTGTTGTGATAGGGCACCACTGAATTCAACACAATGTCTCACAATTGCTGTGCTCTCCTTCTCCCAAGCACATAGATTCTCTCTCTGCGCTGCACGTTTGGGGCATAGGAGATGCGGGAGGGGTGGCATCAGCACTTCAAGACTGTCTCCTACTCTTTTCAGTGGCTCTTTCAGTGATATGAAGTTAAAATCAGGAACTGTGAGTGCTCACCTGATTTTTGGTTCTCAGGAACTTGCTTTTTTTTTGTTGTTTAAATAGTTGTTAAACTGGTGTCCTTGCAGGGGGAACAATCAGTGAAGCCTTCTATTTGGCCATCTTACTCAACATCTCTCCCATTCTGCTTTCTAAATAAATAATTTTAGACCAACATCCTTGATGAACATTGATGCAAAAATCCTCAATAAAATACTGGCAAACCGAATCCAGCAGCACATCAAAAAGCTTATCCACCATGATCAAGTGGGCTTCATCCCTGGGATGCAAGGCTGCTTCAACATATGAAAATCAATAAACGTAATCCATCATATAAACAGAACCAAAGACAAAAACCACATGATTATCTCAATAGATGCAGAAAAGGCCTTTGAAAAAATTCAACAATGCTTCATGCTAAAAACTCTCAATAAATTAGGTATTCATGGGACGTATCTCAAAATAATAAGATGTATCTATGACAAACCCACAGCCAACATCATACTGAATGGACAAAAACTGGAAGCATTCCCTTTGAAAACTGGCACAAGACAGGGATGCCCTCTCTCACCACTCCTATTCAACATAGTGTTGGAAGTTCTGGCCAGGGCAATTAGGCAGGAGAAGGAAATAAAGGGTATTCAGTTAGGAAAAGAGGAAGTCAAATTGTCCCTGTTTGCAGATGACATGATTGTATATCTAGAAAACCCCATTGTCTCAGCCCCAAATCTCCTTAAGCTGATAAGCAACTTCAGCAAAGTCTCAGGATACAAAATCAATGTGCAAAAATCACAAGCATTCTTATACACCAGTAACAGACAAACAGAGAGCCAAATCATGAGTGAACTCCCATTCACAATTGCTTCAAAGAGAATAAAATACCTAGGAATCCACCTTACAAGGGATGTGAAGGACCTCTTCAAGGAGAACTACAAACCACTGCTCAAGGAAATAAAAGAAGATACAAACAAATGAAGAACATTCATGCTCATGGGTAGGAAGAATCAATACCATGAAAATGGCAATACTGCCCAAGGTAAGTTGTAGATTCAATGCCATCCCCATCAAGCTACCAATGACTTTCTTCACAGAATTGGAAAAAACTATTTTAAAGTTCATATGGAACCAAAAAAGAGCCCGCATCATCAAGTCAATCCCAAGCCAAAAGAACAAAGCTGGAGGCATCATGCTACCTGACTTCAAACTATACTACAAGGCTACAGTAACCAAAACAGCATGGTACTGGTACCAAAACAGAGATATAGATCAATGGAACAGAACAGAGCCCTCAGAAATAATGCCGCATATCTACAACTATCTGATCTTTGACAAACCTGAGAAAAACAAGCAATGGGGAAAGGATTCCCCATTTAATAAATGGTGCTGGGAAAATGGGCTAGCCATATGTAGAAAGCTGAAACTGGATCCCTTCCTTACACCTTATACAAAAATTACTTCAAGGTGGATTAAAGACTTACATGTTAGGCCTAAAACCATAAAAACCCTAGAAGAAAACCTAGGCAATATCATTCAGGACATAGGCATGGGCAAGGACTTCATGTCTAAAACACCAAAAGCAATGGCAACAAAAGCCAACATTGACAAATGGGATCTAATCAAACTAAAGAGCTTCTGCACAGCAAAAGAAACCACCATCAGAGTGAACAGGCAACCTACAGAATGGGAGAAAATTTTGGCAACCTACTCATCTGACAAAGGGCTAATAGCCAGAATCTACAATGAACTCAAACAAATTTACAAGAAAAAAACAAACAACCCCATCTACAAGTGGGTGAAGGATATGAACAGACACTTCTCAAAAGAAGACATTTATGCAGCCAAAAAACACATGAAAGATGCTCATCATTATTGGCCATCAGAGAAATGCAAATCAAAACCACAATGAGATACCATCTCACACCAGTTAGAATGGCGATCATTAAGAAGTCAGGAAACAACAGGTGCTGGAGAGGATGTGGAGAAATAGGAACACTTTTACACTGTTGGTGGGACTGTAAACTAGTTCAACCATTGTGGAAGTCAGGGTGGCGATTCCTCAGGGATCTAGAACTAGAAATACCATTTGACCTAGCCATCCCATTACTGGGTATATACCCAAAGGATTATAAATCATGCTGCTATAAAGACACATGCACATATATGTTTATTGCGGCACTATTCACAATAGCAAAGACTTGGAACCACTCCAAATGTCCAACAACAATAGACTGGATTAAGAAAATGTGGCACATATACACCATGGAATACTATGCAGCCATAGAAAATGATGAGTTCTTGTCCTTTGTAGGGACATGGATGAAGCTGGAAACCATCATTCTCAGCAAACTATGGCAAGGACAAAAAACCAAACACTGCATGTTCTCACTCGTAGGTGGGAACTGAACAATGAGAACACATGGACACAGGAAGGGGAGCATCACACACCGGGGACTGTTGTGGGGTGGGGGGAGGGGGGAGGGATAGCATTAGGAGATATACCTAATGTAAATGACGAGTTAATGGATGCAGCACACCAACATGGCACATGTATACATATGTAACAAACCTGCACGTTGTGCACACGTACCCTAAAACTTAAAGTATAAAAAAAAAAGATTGTCTCAAACATCTCAGATCAAGAAAGTCTTATCTCCTAATTGTCTCTTTGCCCATAACCATAATCACACTCATATGTATGTACCATGATCACGTCCATCTTGGAGCTTTTATCCTTTCTTCCCTTTTGCTTGGAATTCCTACCTTCCTCTCTTCTCCAAGCAATAGCTAAACCTCAAAACCCATTTTCAAGTCTCATCTCCTCCCTGAGACCCTCCCTGATCAATTCAATTAACTGATTTCTTATTCCTTGTCTGTTAAAACATGATATAAATGGAAATACAGAAATATGAATAGATTTGAAAATTATTTAAGAGGTAGCAATAAAGATGGATTTTTGTGATAGACTGATTTCCTTCCCTTTCTGTCTTCTTTCATAAGAGAATGTCATTTTAGGGGCTGGGAGATCATCATGTTATCATGTAAAAAACAATAATCAGCTGTCTGGCAGAGAGGAGAGGCCATACAATACAATTCTGGCCAATGACATTTAATTGGATTGAGCAATTACTCAAAAACGGAGCAAACTCAGCTTTATTTTCCTCCTTTTTTTTCTTTGTTAGCCTTGTTGCTATTTTTTGCTTTTTTAGCCTTGTTATTTTTTTCTTTTTAGCCTTTCTGCTTTTTTTCTCTCCTTTTTTCTGCCTGAAATATGGATATAATGTTAGAGATGGAGCACCTATCTTGTAACCATAAGAAGGCCACAAAGAATAGGGTAAAAAAAATTTGAAGAACTAAACTCTGAAATCTTTGAGCCAGCAACCACCTACCTCTCAAACTCTAGTTAAGGGAGGTAAACAAAACTTATAAAATATCTAGTTTGTGGGAGGGAGTTCTAAACACAGACACTTTGACTAACATTAGCCTCTACACACTTTTAATACCTAAAGAATTCAAAACAAAAATATACAAACAAGAAAACCTTTATTCTATCTAAAGGGATAACATTTTGAAACAATTCAATATTTGCTTAATGTCTATGAACAGAAATTAAGATATTTCTTTATTTGAAAAACTAAAATTTACTTTCTTTGATGTTGAAATATTTGTTAAACATATTATAAATAAATTAACTCTTATCTTTGGCATTTGTTATATCCATTCTTCATGGTACTCTAAGAGGGACTATAATAAATAGCATTTCGTTTTCCAGTGAATAAAAATATACACTAAATCTTACCTAAAAACAGTCTTGACTTTGGAAATGCCTTTGTGTCATGTTATTTACAGATAACTCAGTAAGCAAGCTTGTGCTGGCAGAATTGGAGACACTGTTATGTTGCCAGGAATTCTTGCTATGATACATCCATAGGAAGCTTGGGCTTTGGTCCAAGAAACTACAGCTGGAAAAGTCATCCCCTACCTTTCCAGAGAATTACTAAGAAACTACTCTATCCTGTAGGTTGTCCATTTTCCACAGCTACCCGTAGCAAGAATATTCTCTTGGCATTTATTCCTCTACACTGTGTTCTATCAGCATTTTTCCAAGCTCCCAAGCCTGAAAGGTACCTGCTGGGATGGCTCTACACAAATTGTATGAGTTTCTCCTTAGGCATTCAGAGGAAATCCCACCAGATGTCAAAGGTGTCCGATATCACAGCACTCTAAGAAGTAGCTATGGCAAGAGACATAAGGTCACACAAACTGAGAAGTGAAATGGCAAAATTATAAATTCTTGTTATAAACACACTGTCATACGAAGTGAGAAATTGCAGTTGCATTAAGCTGATGGATAATCTGGCAACAAGCAAACAGATACTTATTTTCTCTTCAATCTAAACTGTGCAACTGTCCCTTCCTGACTTACATGCCAATCTTTTCAAATACTTCATCTTTAAATTACTATTATTAGTAAAGTACAAGAGAGCAGCCAGTATCATTTCTCCTGAGGCTACCTCTGGAAGAAAACTGCTAAATAAAAAGAAGATTTAAATGTTTTTCACTTGGCATTTTTATTGACCATCCAAAGGGTATATCACTAGCAGATGCGTATATACAGCCCTAGTGGAATCCACAACTGAAAATGCACAGTAAAGATTTCAGAAAGCAACAAGACAGACTCACTTCTCAGTAAGATTACAGATGTATGATTACTGATACTCTTTGAAAACTTTAAAAAATACTTATTAATCATGCACATTCATATTTCCTAGTATTGTTTCCAAATATTCCTAGCATATACTGTAAATAGTTTTTCTTTCCTGGAATTTAACATTAACATTACCTTTTAAATTTGTTAACAAATTTGCTTTTATCAGAGCTTTCAAGAATTTTCTTCCCCTAGAGGATGTCAAAAATTATCATTTCTAAATTTAGAAGGGTAATGGGAGAGATACAACTCCTTATCGAAGCACTTATATAATTTGACAAAAGTTCAGTCAGAACAACAAATACAATTTGGAAGTTCCAAGTTCTAACTATAGATAACTATATTTCTTCGAATAAAGATGTAGTGGGAGGCTTTTAGTAAAGCCGGTCTTGGCCACACCTGCTTTCCTTCTGCAAAGGGAATGTGAGGTCATAATCTCTGTCATTAAACTCCCATGAAGTCAGACAACATTCGCTGTAATTAATTTCTGTGAGAACAATGGGGCATTAAATGAGGAGTTCACAGGCATTAACTCTGAAGAAGTTCTGAGGCTTGGTAATAACATTGGAGGAAAGATTTTATATGGAAACCTAAAAAAGCACTTACTAATATACCAAATAATATATTAATAAAATACATATATTTTGCATTAACCACCCCTCATTTAAGGGATTCTACCAGGCAATGTTAAGACAATTGAGGCAGCCTGATTTTGTACTTGAGGCCCCAGAGCACACTTTTGGATTAAAACCTAACTTGTCACTAAATAGTAGCACAAAAGAAAGAATAATCATGATCCTGGACCTCTTATTATTAGATATACCCCCCTGCCTCCCCAACTTCTCTGATCATGCAGGAATTTCAGGAAAGACATGAGAGATATGACGTATTGTCCAAATTTGCTAGAGGCTTGGAGATCTAGCCTGTGAACCAGAGACAGAGCCTTCCAGGCACATTCCAAGGCTTGGCCTTACACATAGGGACTGGTCTGATGTCAGAGGAGAACAAGAACTTCAAGGAATTTCTAGTCCTCCAAATGAGTTACACTATATTGGGACAGCAATGAGATAAGAGCTGGGATGAAAAGAATTTGACAGAGCAAGAGTAGATGCATGATAGAATAGGTTACAAGGAAGAAAAGATCCGTGTTCAATGGTTAAGTCAATGGGGGCAGGAATTTGGTTTTTGTTGTTCAACACTACATACCCAGTTTCAGGCCCATAACAAGAGAAATGAATGAATGGGAGAGTGAGTGAGGCTATTTGATCCTTTCTCTTTGTTTCTTTAATCTAGTATTTCCCAATGTATGGAATGCTTCAACTAGTAATCTGGGACATCATTTTAGGTGGTAATGGTACATTAAACACTCTAAATCAGGTAGAGACAAAGTGTTTCCCCTTTTAATTTCCTAGTATCAAGGAGAAAAATTTCAGTTTAGTACTAGTAGGCCTTTAACATCTTTCTATTCTTGTTTAAACAGGAGACATGTTCTCAGGGACTGAGCTCCAGGTAACTTTATTTAGTTAAAACTATATACAGTCATTTGTCACTTAACAATAAGGATACATTCTGAGAAATGCATTGTGGGTGATTTTGTTGTTTTATGAACATCATGGAATGTACTTACACAAATTGAGATGGAATAGCCTACTATACGCCTAGGCTGGATGGTATAGCCTGTTGCTCTGAGGCTACCAACCTACACAGTAAGTTACCGTACTGAATACTATAGGCAAATTTAACACAATGGTAACCATTTGTGTATCTAAACATATCTAAACATAGAAAAGGTTCTGTAAAATATAGTATTATAATCTTCTGGAACCACTATTGTATATGCATTTCATCACTGACCAGAATGTCATTATGCAATGCATGACTGTACTTCATCTGGTTTTTCATCCTATTCATTTTTATAGTTACCATCTATTTTGGGAAAAAATGATTTTTCTAATTTGGGCTAGTAATGTAAAAATTTCCTTTTAAAGGCCAGGCGCAGTGGCTCACGCCTGTAATCCCAGCACTTTAGGAGGCCAAGGCGGGTGGATCATGCGGTCAGGAGATCGAGACCATCCTGGCTAATACGGTGAAACCCCGTCTCTACTAAAAAATACAAAAAATTAGCCGGGCATGGTGGTGGGCACCTGTAGTCCCAGCTACTCAGGAGGCTGAGGCAGGAGAATGGCGTGAACCTGGGAGGCGGAGCTTGCAGTGAGCCAAGATCGCGTCACTGCACTCCAGCCTGGGCGACAGAGTGAGACTCCATCTCAAAAAAAAAAAAAAAAAATCCTTTTAAAATAATTTATTTAAAACACAAAATTTAGTTGACTTAAAAGAAAAACATTAGGTAAATAATAAAGTCATGTGTATCTATGAGGCTAATCAGATGATGATACTCAAATGAATTAAATTTGGCAAGCTGCATTCTAATCGCCCTGGACTCCCTACGGTCTTTAGGTCTCCACTGCTACGACAACAATAAAGATCTAAAGCAGCTGTTCAGCTTTGGGTGGACCACACAGAGCCATCCCCAGGAGACACAGCAACCTGAGACAACAGTCAGTCAAACAAATGTAAACATAATCTTCAGTGTCCTGGTGAGCAACTTAAATGCAAATGCAAAAACTCCATTTCCCAAAATCTGCCATCAATTTTATATTCTTATAGAGAAAGATGCCTGTAACTGTCCCTTCATTTGACTCCCCACTATTAAGCTCATTTAGAAATAAATACTAAGCTACTAAGGTAATGAATTCATGGTAAGAAGAAAGAGAAATGATAAATTTAAAAGCCAAAAATCAATGAGAAGTTCTGTTAGGTCCTACAAATTCTTTTGGATGATCATAATTTTAATTCTGTTACAGGCAAATGGTAGCTCTCACACTAAATTCAGCAACAGCTTGCAATATGTAAATTAGGAGCCCAAAGTTCTTGAACTAACTTGCAAAGGTAGTATTAGTTGCTAATAGATGACATTTAATTTCTGACTTTCAGAACTCAAGATTAAAATAAGGGCTAAATTAGAGCTGAGGTTCCTTAAGCGGCTGCTAATAGCCTATGTCATTGAAGAGTTACTAAAAATACTGATTAAGTACATGAGAGATTTTTTTGTGTGTGTTTAACCAAGCACAACTTGATTTTCATAGTACAATATTTAAAAATAAAATAACAAAATAAAATCTGTACATTAAGTCATCAACCTGGATCCTCATTTTCTTCTTCCTTTTTTTTTTTTTTACAAAGAATTCCTTAGTCCGCTGGCCTCTACAAGCATGTACAAACACTGACGGAATCATAATCTAAAAGGAAGAGAGACACTATCAGAATTTTTTTCATTCTTAATAATTCATTTTACCTGAATCTTTTGTTTCTCCTTCTTCCTCTAATTTTGTTGGCTTTTAGCCAATTCACAATAATTAAGACTTTGATGTTGAGGCCAAGAGGGAACTGGCAAAAAGTAAAACTCATTCATCAATGTAACTCAGTAATTCTCACCTCTCATATTATGACATAGCCACCAGAAGCTACTGCAACAACTTCCTTAATAGCTCAGAACAACAAGAATACCTAATAACATACATGCTTCAAATCCAGAGTCATGGCAATATTTTTTTCTATTTTAAATAAGTCATGCTAATGTTGAAATGCTAACTGTGAAATTCTTTACCTCACATGGGTGCCATTGTTTAATACAGTAACTCCTACAAATATACTTTGAGCTTCCTGTAAAGTGACATGTAAATAAAGCATTATTGCCATAACATCTCCCTTAATGATTTAGAAAAGGCAGTAAATAGCAAGCTGATGGAATCACAGATGGTACTAAATTGAGACGTGTTGCAAACATCAGTAAAGGCAGAAAAAATTACGCAAAAAGGACCTAAAGTGCTTAAAATAAGACCAAAACATTTCTAACATTATGGGAAAAAGAAAATGACTTTTTTAAAGAGTGTCCGAAATATGCTGTCCAGCATAGATGCTACAACCAACAGGTAAAAAACATGCCAGCCAGAATTGTTTTCATTTCTTTGAAACAAACTAACATGCCAATGTGCTCTGAATAGGGATTGGTAGTCACATAAATATAATACTTACAATAAACAGTAAAGAAAAACCACTGTGATTTCATTAAAAAGTGCCAATGAAAAGTTCAGTTTGGTATGTCTGTAACTTCGAAAGAACACAGAGTTCCATTTAGGAAGAGTATTCCAAGTAAACCTGTTTCATCCTAAGCATTTTCATAAGCCTAAATTTGCCTCCCACTTGGGCAGAGCCATCTGTCTGGGCAGGTTTTGCACAGGGACCGAAACAGAAAGAAGGCATCTTATAGGGGCTTGTGCTTGGGGTTGCAGGTGGCTTTGAGTTTGTCCTCTACTTCCCATGGTGACAAATGGGGCACATGAGATATGTGGTTATAAATACAGTCTGTAATGGTAGTGACAGAATAAAGCAGACTGACATCACCACTACCATGCTTCTCTCTTTTATGCTCTAACCTGTACCTTTTGCAAAATTTAGCCTCATGTTTAATATCAAAACATTTTAATGTCAAAACGTATGTATTCTCTCTTGGCTCCCACTATACCTGTTGGTTGTTTCATCTGTTGAGGTGACAGACAATAGTTGCTGAATGTAAGGTCTTGATGAATCCAGCATGGGTTTTCTCTTTTTTCAGGAGCCAGGCTCATTCACCCGTTCTTACCCAACCAAATTCTCTAATCACTGAAGTCCAACACATGAAATCTTACTGGAAAACAGTCTTTCAATGCTGTTGTGGACCTGAGAACATACCGTCAAACTTTATTATCCTGAGGAATTTATTTACACAGAAAATTGTTTTACAAGTGATCAAAAAGAAAAACACTTTTATGTATCTGTCAGAGTAACCCTAGACCCTAAAAATGGGTCTAGATGGAGTAACTGAAAATAAACTGATTAAATACTATCATTTATTTCTCTTTCAAACAAATAAAAAGACTGGAGGTAATCAGCCCAGGTCTGGGATGGCACCCCATGAGGTCAGGCACCCAGGTTCCATCTACCTGGTTGCTTTGCCATCCTCAGCACGCAGCTTCCACCTAGCAGTCCCTGATGGCTGCCTGCCTTCTTCTCTCCACACTGCAGTCCATTGGCTAGAACCTAGTCACATGGCTATGCCTAGCTGCAAGCCAACTAGAAAACAAAGTCTTTATTCCAGGAATCCATGTGCCCAGGTAAAAATTAGGGATTCTGTTATATCTATACTGAATTAAAAAAGAGAGACTAGATACTGGAGGACAATTAGCAGTCTCTGCTTCAATTAAGAATCATATTTTAATAGTCAAAGCTTGCTAATTTTAAAGATTCTTTCAGCATTTATCCTTGGTTAACAAAATACACATTGATACCTAATTGTTTATTCAACACAGTTTACTTGAGTTTGATATCTGAACAAAATTTCCTAATTTTTCCTTCAACTTTTAAAGAATTCTGCTTCATGGTTTTACAGTTTGTTTCCTGTAAGGATGTCATTTCTGCTATCACAAAATGTAAAACATTTATGAAATTATAAAAAGTAAACTTTAAGACTTTCCCTTTTTCTATGCAGGCCTTACTTTTTTAAAGATAGAATTTTAGGACCAGTTAAAATTATCACTTTAGTAAGGAATATTTTAAACATTTTAGTCACATAAACAGTTTTATGTATATCTGTTCACATTTTAAAAGCACATAATTAATATACATAGACTGTGCTTCATATATATTGAAAGAAATTTATTGTAAAGAATTGGATCACTTGACCATAGAGGCTGGCAAGTCCAGAGTCTGCAGTGTGAGCCAGCAGGCTGGAAACCCATGAGAGACGATGGTGTGGATGAAGTCTGAAGGCAGTCCTTTGGAGATTTCTCCCTTGCTGAGGGCATCTTTTCATTCTATTCAGTCCTTCAACTGATTGGATGAGGCCCACCCTCATTATGGAGGAGAATCCACTTACTTACTTATTTACTCATCAGCTTAAATGTTCATCTCATCCAAAAACCCAAAACACCCTCCAAGTTGACATATAAAATTAATTATGGCTGGGTGTGGTGGCTCACGTCTATAATCCCAACATTTTGGGAGGCCATGGTGAGTGGATCACTTGAGCCCAGGAGTTTGAGACCAGCCTGAGCAACATGGCAAAACCCCATCTCTACAAAAAATACAAAAATTAGCCAGGCATGGTGGTGCATGCCTGTAGTCCCAGCTACTCAGGAGGCTGAGTAGGGAGAATCACCTGAACCGGGAAGTCGAGGCTGCAGTGAGCCACGATCTCACCACTGCACTCTAGCGTGGGCATCAGAGTGAGATTCTGTCTCAAAAACATAAATAAATAAAATAAAATAAAATAAAACAAAATAAAATCATCGTCACACCCCTCTTTAAGGGGGAGTGGACCAGGTACATTTTGCTTAACAAATGGCTCATGGTCATTATAATTGTTAACCAGGAACATTAATTAATTGTGTTAATCATTATTATTTAATTACTAACAATAACTCCACAAGTCTCTTTTGTATATTTCTTGAAACTGGAAAAATTATGGCAATAATAGAAAATCTAAATTTGGAAAAAAATAACTAGCGGACTCAAAGGGAAGGAACACCAAACACTGCAACATTCAGAAGGGATTTTCCTTGGGTCTAACAGAGAGGATTACAGTTCCCTCTTCAATGTTAACTTGAGCCTCAGTCTAAAAGTTACTTCTGAAGTCTTTAAGCTGTGACCTGAATTGTCCCTACAACTGTTTATCTGTGTGTTTTTTAAGAAGGTCATACCAAACATTTATGATCAGCTCAAATAGAAACATTTTCTGTTTTTCTAGACTATTTTCATAGTAAACAATGAGGCTATTTGAAAAACATTTCTAAGAAATGTACTTAAATAACAGGAAACCCCATGCCAACTTTGGGAAATACAGTACAAATAGGGGAAACTCCAATCCCTAGCAACAATGGAAATGCAATGGCTCTGGTGGTGTCAACTGCCATAAAGGGCATGTTACGGAATTTCACTCCACAATCACAGTGGGCCCTGGAATAACTGAGTACTGGGCAGGCCTGAAGGGAGGTAGCCATCACTGCCTGGAATAAGGTTTCTAGGATATGCAGCAGCTTCTTATATACCCACAGAGATGGGAATTAGTCTTCTACACACCTTCATCTGTTGGGCCTGATAAAACCAAAAGAAATTCCAAGATTCATTCGTGCCTTGTCAATATCTAAGGGGATATTTACATTTAATGTTAGCAAATATTGCATAGTACTCTAACACATCCCAAAGAATCAGTCCACCATCCAATTTCTCTGCATTTAAACAACTGTCATGAAACTGACTAAGATAGTCAACAATATTTTAGGTGCACACAGACTGTCTTTTTTTTTTTTTTTTTTTGAGACAGGGTTTCACTGTGTCCCCCAGGCTGGAATGCAGTGGCATGATCACAGCTCACTGCAGCCTTGACCTGCAGGGCTCAAATGATCCTCCTACCTCAGCCCCCTGAGTAGCTGGAAGTATAGGAATGCACCACCACATTCAGCTAATTTTATTTTATTTTTCATAGAAATGTGGTTTCACTATGTTGCCCAGGCTGGTCTTGAACTCATGGGCTAAAGCAATCTTCCTGCTTCAGTCTCCCAAAGTGCTGGGGATTACAAGCATGAGCCACCACACCCAGCCTAGGCTGCCTCTTTAACACCCCCAATCATTTGTTTTCTTCCTGAACAGCTACTCAATTCAAGTGTTCAAAGAGCAAAGTACAAGTCTTTAACTTATCAATTGAGAAATTACTTTTTTCAGCCTCTCTGCCATGTATAAATGACAACATGCACCAGAACATGTTCCTGAAGGGTAATAAAGAACATATTAAGAGGCTTTTGCTGGAAATAGAATATAAAGTAAAACCTAAAGATTAAACCAATCAACCACAGAGATTTTTTTTCTTTTAGCTTACAAAAATAAATTTCTCATCATTTCTCAGATAAGCATGCAAAAATAGCTCATAGGTGTCTCATACCAGTAGAATAATGAGCTCTTACATGTTAATGTTTCCTCTGGATTCTCCATGGACTCAGCCTACTATTAATAATACCTGACAGCCCACTTACTGGCTACCATTTTAAAAGAATCTTCTAAAAGCATGGCAGTTAAAAAATCATTTATTCATGACCTGACACAGGTGTCAGCAGTATAGGCCTCAGAGATGTTAGAATAATTCAGCTGATTTCCCTCTTAACATTTTCATAATAAATTGGACATCTCCCAACTCCAGACAGTAATGGCTTCTGACCCAGGCTATAGGAACATACAAGGAACTTTACAATACCAGCTCCAAAAGAGATTAGATGCTAACAAATATGCATACCCTTCCCAAACCAGGAGCAAATGAATAATGAAAATAAAGAATATATATCCATTGTCCTATACTATTATGTAGGCCTTAAGATTCCAAGAATGGTCAATGTCCCAAGTTCAAGTGGGAAAGAACATTTTACTCTTCCCCTTCCACTTTACATTCCACTGAGAGGTTACAGTGCTTGCTGCTGCCTTCCCGTCTTTCCTCAGGGTTTCATCTCTCTCCTTTACATCTTCTTGCTCCGTTCTGGGTTTTCCTTTGTGTCTAAGGACATTTCCCTCTCCATTCCCTCCCACCTAGTCTGTCCCCATACCCTCTTCTCTCCATCTCCCTTCCTCCCTCCCTTTTGTTTGACTTTAGAAGATATTTTAATGTAAATATGTATTTCATTAAAATGAGGGGAGAGAGATTCCAGAATCATTAGATAATTTGCTCTTAATTTTTTTCTGATGCATGACCTGTTTTGTGACCCTATTCCCTAAGAGATGGATGAAAGTATATCATCTCTAATTTTATTTTTTAAATTTCCACAGGTGTTGGGGGAACAAGTGGTATTTGGTTACATAAGTTCTTTCGCGGTGACTTGTGAGATTTTGGTGCACCCATCACCACTGAACCCAATTTGTAGCCTTTTATTATCCCTCACCCCCTTCCCACCATTTCCTCCCAAGTCCCCAAAGTCCATTTTCCCTCCCTCTTTACCCCACCTCTCTGACCTCGCCATAATCTGGACCCAAGGATATTTATTGTTAATGTGTTTGTTCTTGTTTTTTGGGGGAAAGCATGTTGTATATATTTAAATAGAGTATTGTGGCTACGTTAATTTTTTTAATTATTTAATTGAAAGAGAACCTCCTCTTCTGAGTTCGCCTCCCTCTGCCTTGAACATGTATTTTAGTCCACTAAGCAATACCAAAGAATACTTAAATGAGCAAAACTAAGTGAGCAAAAATAGTATGAAGAATCTCTGTGTGACAGGTGCAGGATTTTTCATTTTCGGAGTAAATCTTGGTAAGTGGCCACACATCCACTGCCAATGCTTTCTGTAATTCTTCTCCCAGTCAACTAAGCTCTCTGTCACAATTTACTGCTCTCTCAGAACACCTTTTTTTTTTTAACTTGCCAACTATGGAGGGCTCCTTTCTCTATTTTCCATGAGAATATTTTGTTTAAGTTCACAGATGTGGGATTTTTCTCTTTTTGAAAATATTTACTGTTAAGTAAAAATGCAACTTTTTAAAGGAAGAAAATCCAAATGTTCACCAAAACCTAACTGGCATTAAAAGAACAGTCCCATTTTAAACTATGTTGATATCAAGATAGAGGTGAAGCAAAAAAAAAAATTTATTTGAGGTTACTTTCCACATGAGGTCAAGAAAGAACCCTTCATTTCCTGAAGCAATTAACAAAACAGCTATGCAATATCAGATAAAGGGGAGACTACAAAATACAACGGGATTTTAGGCCCCTCAAAAAGAAAAGATTACATTCCATACAGAGAGGAGATGCTGGATGAAAAGCTCTCATCCAGACCCCTCTCCCAGCCTCTGTCAGCCTCTTAGACAAATAGACTCAGGCCCATTAAGCCTTGGAGGCCACCGAGGCAGAATTTGATTTATTTATTTAGTTTTAAGAAAAAATAAGAACCTGACACTTTAAATCCTGCTACAACTGGTAAATTCAAGCTCAGAAGATGTGATTAGGCTATGTCTCATGTGTCTTCTCAGCTCTTTTTTTCTGCCTTATTCCCAATCCCCCCGAAATTAAAGCAGAACAGACATCGTGACTGTTTAATCACAACACCTTATAGTTATGTCCTGAAAGATCATGGTTAACATTAGTGAAAGAAAAGCTTGGGATGTGTGTAGTTGTTCTGCTCCAGTATAAATGGAAAGCTTAAACTATTTTTCTAGCCCTAATAGAATCAATCATCACCCATTTCACGATGAAACCCAAGACAAAGCTCAGAACCTAAACAGCCTTCAGAATTCAGAAAAGATAAACGGGAGAAATGAGAGCAGTCAAAGAGAGATCAGATTTCCATCTGAGACAGACTTGGTATTAGCTAAAAGGCAACTTTATAGGAATCATAGGAATCATAACAAATAGTTTATAACATCTTCTAGAATCAGGGCACATGTACAATTGTCTCAGAGTAATATTATTTCCTTTCTAGTGACAGGCTGTGTCTACATAGCTTTCTGAAGATGGGGGAGCTTAATGGAAAGATGTTTTACAATACATGTCATACTACTTTTTTATCACTAGGTCATTACCTTATATTAACATTATGAATTAACAAATTGTTGCTTAAAAAAAAGGATGCAAAGCATTTATCAAACTGTAAAAAATACAAAGAAATATAAAGTATGTCTCTGCCCTCTAAAAGCTTATTATCTAGTTGGGTGGAAAGTTTAGTGTGCATAAACTAAAATAGCTCAGAAAATGCAAGCTTGAAGAGCTCAGAAGTCAGGATCATGTTTTTATACATTAAAATACTTAAATTATACTATATATCAGACACTAGGATAAGCACTTTTGCTTATAAAAAATGCTATTATAGTAGTTCAAACAAAAGGCACCAAAAAATGGAGAGATTTCCAATAAGTTGATCAGAGATAACCTCAGGAATAAAATGATGTTTGAGACTTTGAAGAAAAGGCAAGATTTAAGAGAATTCAAAGAGAAGATGCCCTTAGTTGAAGAAATGGCACATCCAAAAGAACAAGAACAACAACAACAAAAAACAATGAATATTTAGGAATTAACTAGTTCAGTTTGTCCAGCACAGGGCATTTGTAACAAGCTAAATTTTATACACTCTGAAATGAGGTTCTGGACATACTGCCAATACCAGATGGGAGTAGAGATGTAATTTAAGAATCAATCTTATAGAGGAAGAAAGAGAGAAACGTAAAAGTTATCCAAGGGGAAAGATAAGAGAGTTTGGGCCAAAAACTTAGAAAAACTTCCATGCAGCCAAAAGAGAGAGAGAGAGAGAGAGAGCGAGACAAATGAGACAGTTCCATGGGGTCACCAGGGAAGGTTTGTCAAAATATATAAAATTTTAGCTGAGTCTTAAGGAGTGAGGAGAACCCAAATTAGTAGATAATATGGTTTGGATCTGTGTCTTTCTCCACCAAATCTCATGATTGTAATCCCCAATGTTGGAGGTAGGGCCTGGTGGGAGGTGATTAAATCATGGGGCAGATTTCTCATAAGTGGTTTAGCACCATCCTCCTTGGTACCGTCGTCCCGATAGTGAACAAGTCCTTGTGAGATCTGGTTGGTTAAAAGTGTGTAGCACCTCCCCGCAACTCTCTCTCTTGTTCCTGCTTTCACCATGTGAAGTGCCTGCTCCCTCTTCGCCTTCTGCTATGATTATGTTTCCTGAGGCCTCCCCAGAAGCCGAGCAGATGCCAGCCTCATGCTTCCTGTACAGCGTGAAGAACTGTGAGCCAATTAAGCCTCTTTTGTTTATAAATTACCCAGTCTCAGGTATTTCTTTGTAGCAATGCAAGAATGAACTAATATAGTAGAGAAGAAAACAGAGGGTGTCATAGATGAGCACTTGATATGCTTTAATAAATGAAAGCCAAAAAACACAGGAAGCTTGGAGGACACCAATAGCTGACCGAAGCCAGAACAAGCAATTTTACCTAACACTGGCAAGAGATATTTACAAGGATACAATTTGGATGAGGTGCAGAGATCTGTGATTCTTACTAAGGAGTCTAGGTTTTATCCAAAAGGCAATGTGGAGCCACTGAAAATTTTTCAGCAATGAGGTGACTTGACAGAATTTCAGGCTAACTGCTGACCTAAAACACTAATGAACTATATCCCAGATAGTGACCCCAACTCGATTAGTTTTCTACTAAAATCTTGGACAGTATATCTACAATTTCTCCTCTAAGATACCCCAAAGCATTTGCAAGTACTGCCACCATTCCTTTCCTTGGGTCTTATTCTGCCTTATTGATGAGAGAAAAGTTTGGTTACTCACGCCTGTAATCCCAGCACTTTGGGAGGCCGGCAGATCACAAGGTCAGGAGTTTGAGACCAGCCTGGCCAACATGGTGAAACCCCATCTCTACTAAAAATACACCACAGGTGTGGTGGCGGGCGCCTGTAATCTCAGCTACTCAAGAGGCTGAGGCAGGAGAATCGCTTCAACCTGGGAGGCGGAGGTTGCAGTGAGCTGAGATTGCACCACTGCACTCCAGCCTGGGTGACAGAATGAGACTCCATCTCAAAAAAAAAAAAAAGATTGGTTACACAGTAAGAGGGAGATGACCACTGATGCTTAAGAGAGATTATGTGTCAGAGTGTTTGAGAGCCTGTGTCTACATACTTCTTAGCTTAGTGGGAAAAGTCCCTGGGAAAAGATTTTCTTTCTCAAGAGGGGACTGGAAAAGTGATCTCCCACATATCTTCTTCCTGCTCTCTTCCCACACCTTTATTCATTTCTGTCTACCCCTTTACTAGTCACCATGCCCCCAGCATAATGGAGAAGAAAAGGAGGCCTCCAGAACTAAGGCACATGCTCCTCTTAACAGAGAAGATCTTGGAGGCTTGCAGAATATAATAAAGAGGAAGGTACCTTTCTTTAGTTAACAAACTCTTATAAACCATTTTCCATGTGACAGGTAATGAAACATACACTCACAAATACACACACATATACACATACATATATGTGTGTGTGTATATATATACACACACATATACACATACATATATGTGTGTGTGTATATATATACACACACGCACACAAAATATATATATAATTTAACCCTCATAACAATCCAATGAAATAGGTCTTACTATTAACCCCGTTTTACAGATGAGGAAACTGGGGCAATACAAAGTTAAGTGACTTGCGTAAGGTATGTAAGTTTCGGGGCTGATATGAAACCAGGCAACCTATCCCAGAATTCCCACTTTTAACCACTGCCTTGTGCTCCATCTTTATTCTCATTCTGCTTTTGGTCCTTAAAACATGACTTCTAGTGAGCCCTGTGGGAGGGTTGGA
Source organism: Homo sapiens (assembly GCF_000001405.40). Taxonomy (NCBI): domain Eukaryota; kingdom Metazoa; phylum Chordata; class Mammalia; order Primates; family Hominidae; genus Homo; species Homo sapiens. The sequence continues at coordinate 23,970 of NW_003315918.1, read as the reverse complement.
AGGAATGGAGATGGAAAGGACACAATATGGGACTCTCAGGCTCCCTGGCCATAGGACTAGCAAAATCTCACTCTTAACCCAGTTTGCCTGAGGCTGCAATTTTTTGAATTTTTGCAGTCAGACCTTGGCAATGACCTTGAGCAGCAGGATATAAATAACTCCCACATGTTTAGCGTTCTGATAATGGAACACTAGGCATATATGGGTTTTAATCGGTATATCCACAAGAAATACATTTTCTGAAAAACTTAAACTTCAATGAAGTGAATTTGACGTGAATTGACACTGACAGCTGTAAGAACATCCCCACACACCTTTTTTTTAAACTGAAATTCTATACTTAGTTCGTTCATAATTTCCCATTAGCACATGCTGAAAAAAACTTCCCATCGTTTAGATTTTTAATCTTATGTGGAAATGTTGCTCTTAATAGAAGGAACATTTCAAACAGTTCATGGAGAATGCAAATAGAGGTAGAGGATGGAAATGGCTATTGACATTGCTGTTAGAGAAGTTTTACCAATAGCAAGGGACAATATTGTTTTCAGTAATCATTTTATTGCTTTTTGCATACAGTGAACACTGGGACATTTCCTAAATGTCACTGAAAGACTGAAAATTTTTAAATAAAAATAATTCAAAAAGTGGAGTAATGTAGGGCCATTTAGTGCATAAACAGCTCTATACACTTAGAATATCTTCACACATTTATGGTAATAAAGATGATTTTAATGATCATGAATATTATGTATAACACCTAAGTAACTAATAGCAATTTGAAGCCAAATCCACTCATAAGAAAACTGATGGATAAGGATATATATATATATACACATATATAGACTTTTGCTTCTCAACAAACTGGGGTAACAGGAATCAGATTTACCTTCCCACTTGAAACAACAACAGCCACAAAAACAAAAACAGACCAAATCTATGATGTGAATCTATAGTTTTTAAGACAATGACATCAGGCAACAAAAGACAGTAATATCCAAAAAATAAGAAATATACAAAGTAGGCCCTACATTTGACTCAATTTACTGCCATGAGTGATTCTATACCACAGCACAATGCTGAGTAGCTGTAGCAGAGCCAGTGGTAATATCAGATGGAAGTACAGATCTACATAAAGGAATGAAGAGTACCAGAAATGATAACTATACTGGTAAATAGATAAGATCATGTTCTTATTATTTATATATCTTTCAAAGATAGTTGTCTAAGCAAAAATAAAAATATATTGTGGAATTTTCAACAGAGACATAAATAAAATGTATAACAACAGTATTATAAATGTCAAGAAGGGAAAATTGGAAGTATACTATTGTAAGGTTCTTATATTACACATGAAGGGATATAGTACTTGAAAGTAGACTTTGATGGGATAGCTGTAGAGTATAAAACCTAAAGCAGTGTTTTCAACCTTAGTTCTTTTGTCATTTTGAGCCAGACAATTCTTTGTCATGGAGAGCTGTTAGGTGCATTGTAGGAGTTTTAGTAGCATCCCCAGACTCTACTCACTAGATGCCAGCAGCATCTCCCCAGTTGCAAAAATTAAAAATGTTCTCAGACATTGCCAAATGATCCCTGGAGGATAAAACCACTGCCAGATAAGAATAACTAAAGTGATCACTAAAAAAAAAAAAAAAAAAACAGTCATAGCTAATAAACAAAGATGAAATAATTATACCATCAAAAAATACTAAATTAATTCAAAAGAAGACAGATACAAAGGAAAAGGGAAAGGAAGAAGACACAGGACTAACATAATAAAACAAATAGGATAATGATGATAATAGACTTTAACTGAATCATATCAATAATAATATTAAATATAAATGGCCTAAATACTCTCAATTAAAAGGTAGAAATTGTCAGATTGGGTAAAATAAAAGGTCCCAATTATATGTTGCCCACAAGAAATGAAATTTAATTTTTTTTTTTTTTTTTTTGAGACGGAGTCTCCCTCTGTCGCCCAGGCTGGAATGCAGTGGCCCCATCTTGGCTCACTGCAAGCTCCGCCTCCCAGGTTCATGCCGTTCTCCTGCCTCAGCCTCCAGAGTAGCTGGGACTATAGGCGCTTGCCACCACACCCAGCTAATTTTTTTGTATTTTAGTAGAGATGGGGTTTCACCATGTTGGCCAGGATGGTCTCAAACTCCTGACCTTGTGATCCAGCCACCTCAGCCTCCCAAGAAATTTAAATTTAAAGACATAATGTGTTAAAATAAAATTATGAAAAAAAGATGTATCATGCTAATACTAATCAAAAGAAAGCTGAAGTGCCTATATTAATATTAGACAAAGTAGACTGCAGAATAGTGAATAGTATGAGGGAAAATGAAAGTTATTTCAAAATAATAATGTGGCCAGTGTACCTAAAGGACATTATAATCCTAAATATTTATGAGTCTAACAACAGAGCTTCAACAGACATGAAGCAAAACCTCATAGAATTGTAAGGAGAAATACAGAAACCACAATTATAGCCAGAGATTTCAACAACTCTTTTCCAATAATTGGTAGAATAAATAGACAGAAATCCAGTAAAAGTATAGAAGGCTTGAACAACACAACCTGACCTGACATTTGTTGAACATTATATCCAACACTTCTTTTCAAGTGCACGCACAATATTTACCAAAACAGACAATACCCTGAGCCATAAAACAAACGTCAATATATTTAAAGGGATCCATATTGTACAAAAGATACTGTCTAATCACAATGGAACTAAATTAGAAATTAAGAACAAAAAGATCTCTTGAAACTCCTGAATATTTAGAAACTAAATGGCATACTTCTTTTTTTTTTTTTTTCTCGAGACGGAGTCTTGCTCTGTCACCTAGGCTGGAGTGCAGTGGCACGATCTCAGCTCACTGCAAACTCTGCCTCCTGGGTTCATGCCATTCTTCTGCCTCAGCCTCCCAAGTAGCTGGGACTACAGGTGCCCGCCACCAGGCCCAGCTAATTTTTTTGTATTTTTAGTAGAGACGGGGTTTCACTGTGTTAGCCAGGATGGTCTCAACCTCCTGACCTCGTGATCCGCCCGCCTCGGCCTCCCAAAGTGCTGGGATTACAGGCGTGAGCCACCGCACCTGGCCCTAAATGACATACTTCTAAATAAATCATAAGTCAAAGAATAAAACAATCAGCATTAGAAAGGATTTTAAACTGAATAAAAATGAAAACATAAAAATTTGAGGGATGCCACTCAAGTAGTGTTTAGAGGGAAATTTATAGCATTAAATGTCTATAATAGAAAAGCAAAAGGTTCTCAAATCCCCTCAGCTATCACATTTGTAAATTTAAAAAAGAAGAGCAACTTAAATCCAACGTAAGCAGAAAAAAGGAAACAGCAAAGAGAAGATGGGAAATTAATAACACAGAAAACTGAAAAACAGTGGGGAAAGTCAATGAAACCAAAAGCTAGGTTTTTGAGACTATCAATAAAACTGATAAACCTTGAGCCAGACCAGGCAGATCAGAGAAGAAAAAAAAAAAAAGAGAGAAGACACAAATTTCTAATGTCAGAGTAAGAGAGGTGACTTCCAAGGAAAGAATATTTTTATATTTTTGCAGTTAGGGTTTTCTGAGCAAATACACTTGAAACTTTTGTCAACAAACAAATCTTGGGAGTTAAAGGGTGATTCAATAACGAGAGACCATCCAGAAAGATTTACCTCTTCAAAGGCATGTGCCTACATTTCAAAGAGGGCTGAGACACAGAGCCATAGAGATATTTCAGAGGTTGTAAACACAAAGACTTATCTTCCACCTGGAGATATTTCTTTATATTCCAAAGGGTAATAACCCAGTAATCTTTCCCTTTCCTCCCAGGGTGAATTTGTTTACATTGAGAAGCTTAAATTTCTGTCTTTCAGGAGTAGAAGAGTCAAGATTTACATAAATCCCTAGATTCGAATTTTTATCCTTCCTCACCTATATAGTTCAGATACCAGTACAAGTTGGGTGACTTCTGGCTCTCATCCTCCAAGAAGAGGGAAAGACTGAGGAAACGAGAACCAACGCAGTTATTGCTGTGAGTAATAATAGTCTATTCCTACTCCTGAAACCTCATGTCTACTTCTGTGATAACATGAATAAACATAGATATTTAAAACTTATCCGTGACATTATTACACATTCTATAAATATTAAAAGGAGAATAATGGAATAAAAATGACATTCTCAATCAAAATTGACAACTTAGAAGATATAGACAAATTCCTTAAAAGATGCAAACTCCCAAAGCTGACTTCAAAAATAAATGGATAAACTGAATAGCCTTATAGCTAGCAAATAAATTGAATTTGCAAAAAAACTGTCCCACACAAAAAAATTCAAGGCCCAAATAGCTTCACTAGTAAACTCTACCAACATTAAAGATGAAAAATATTATTTCTACACAAACTCTTCCAAAAAATTTGAGGAAGAAGAAATACATCCCAACTAATTCTATGAAGCCATTATTTCCCTGATAAACAAAGACATTATAAGAAAACTATAGACCAATATAGCTCATGAGCATAGATTCAAAATTTAAAACAAAATTTTAGCAATATATAAACAATATATAAAATTAATATTATTATCAGGCAGTGTTTTCCTCAGAAATGCCAGGTTCATTTAACATTAATTTCAAAAATCAATGTAATTCACTATATCAACAAACACAAAAATAAAATCCACATAATAATTTCAATAGATGCAGAAAAAGCACTTGACAAAAAATCAGCATTTATTCCTGATAAAAACTCTCACCAAACAAATAATAAAAAGAAACTCCCTCAATTTAATAAAAGACATTATAAAAACCAGCAGCTAACATCATAATGAAGAGAGACTAAATGCTTTTTTCCTAAGATTAGCAAAAGAAAAGGACGTGCATTCTTATCACTTCTATTCAATATTTTTCTGGAAGTTTAAGCCAGCACAGTAAGGAAAGAAAAAGAAATAAAAGGCCTCTAGATTAAAAAGGAAGAAGTAGAAACACTTTCTTTCTTTCTTTCCTTACTATGCTGGCTTAAACTTCCAGAAAAATGCACATCATGAATGTATACGCCTGAACTTAAAATAAAAGTTAGAAATTTTTTTTAAAAAGTGTATTGTGCAATAATAATGAAAATGTAACTGTATCACATTGTGATAATTATTCCATCTGCTCATTTAATAAATACCTATTGCTTATTCACCAAAAAAGGAAGAAGTAAAACTGTCTTTATTCACAGATGACATAATCATCTTTGTGGAAAATCTGATGATTCTACAAAAATGCTACTAGGTCAGTGCAGCTCATGCCTTGATGTCAACCTTGTAAGAGCTGGAGTAGAGAACCTAGTTGAGCCTCCCTGAGCTACTTCTGACTACAGTACTGTGAAATAATACATATCTATTGTTTATGTCACTAAGTTTAATAATTAATTATGGAGATACAGAAAACTAATAAACCTACTGAAGCAACATTTATGGAAAGTGGTGCCCAAGGATCTGTATGTTTAACAAGCTCCCAATTAATTCTAAACACAGTAAAGTTTAAGACTAACTCAACTGGAAGAACACGGTCACAAAAATGGAACAGATTGGGACTTCTGAACTTATAGATCTTTCAAAGCAGAGGAGGCCATGCCCATTTTTACAATTTTAATACAATTCTTAACTAATTCCTTGCTGATGATATTCTCTTAACAACATGATGAAGAAAATGCTTTAAGGTAATTTACTGCATCTTCCAAGCTCCAAGCAAGGATGAATTATGTCCTAGTCAAAATCTATTCATTCTGTTTTTAGAAGATAGGGAATATATATGCACAAGTTCAATAATGTGATCCATTGTACAATACCACTTTCTTGTCTGCACTTTCTTCCTAAACGCCATTCTAAATTCTCTTTAGTGTAATTTAACCCAGTTTTCTTTTCAGATCCTGGAAAAAATAGTTAATAGCTGGCCATCTTCCTTTATGTCTTCTCCCTTACTTCCCGTGAGGACTGTCTAGTAGCCATATGCTTATCCCCAGGAGGTCAATTGTGATTGGTCCAGATAGAGGTTATATATAGTCTTTGCTGATTACGGTATAAAAAGTCAATATGCAATTTAGTTCTGACCAAAAATACCTAAGATGAAGCCTGTTGGGTGATAATGGGAACATCCCACAAATAGTAGATATGGGCTGAGTTGTCTACTATTTGTCTCCCTCCGAAAAATCACAAAAACATTTATAAAAATGCACATAACACATCCAGGAACCCAGGATAATCAGAACTGCTGGAGTCATCCTGTGACCATAGAGGGAGATTTCACTGAATCCTGATGATGGCAGAAGAGAATTATGAAGAGTGCCTCCGTCCTTGAAGACTCTGTTGAGCAGCCAAACTGACCCTGGAACTGCCTATTTCAAAATTCCTCATGAAGTAAGCTTTAAAATGGCCTTCTTATTTAAGCCATTTTTAGGTGGGTATTCTGATATTTCCCTATAATTCTTGTAGTCTAAGCCATTTTCATATCAGTTCACATTCCCAGAAAGTTCCCAGGAATGCTTGGCTATGTGGCAGTAACCTCCAGTCCCTCTTTTCAGCCTATTCTTAAGCCAGAAATCCCCCACATCCTCTCTGGATTGGCAAGGTGAGACTCTGCCAGGCCATTTGCAGGGTTTCCAAACATAGCCATGGCATAGACAGTCTGGAGGATGTAGTGTGTGCTACTACTCAGCCCCTTAACCTTTTCCCAGAACCAGCAGGCACCATGTCTGAGCCTAGACTGAAGCTCCCCAGAAACATCCAGGAGAGTGGCTGTGAAATATTAGGTTGGTGCAAAAGTAACCATTAAAAGTAACGGTTTTTGCCATTAAAAATAACGGAGTAAGTAATAGACCACTAGGGACATGCGGTGGGTTGGAACTCTGGTAAGACGGACCTCAAACCAGTACATTAAGAACTGCTTCAGTTCCTCTAGGCACGACTGAGATAGGAAGCCCCATCCTAAAGCTCCTGGGTGGCTACTTGCTGCCTCCCTCAGGAACCTTTGCTAGAAGTTATGGCTGCTCTTTCACAGCAAGAAAACCAGAGTTGAAAGGGAGAGAAAGAGTCCATGTTATTTCCCTGGCAAATTGCAGTGGAACACAAGAGAGGAAAATAAATGCTCACTAACTCCTTTGATTCATTAATAAAACATGATGAGAAAATGTATAATTATAATTCTTGATATTTCTCTTCGAAAATTCATTTTCGTGATCCCAGCCTCTTTTTTTGCTTTATTCTGTGAAACATCTAGTGGGACTTGTAGAGATTGGAATGGGCAATTGGCAAGCTGCAAGTAGCCTAAGAAATAGCATTTACCTTGGGTAATTCACCATGATCCAGAGCCTTGTTTTTGACTCTGCTAAGACAGAGCCTGATTCCTTCAGCATGCCACACGAGATGCTGGGCCAATCTGCAAACCATAACTGACATATGGATCTGAATATTCACATTGATATGACCAGTACATTCTCTGCAGTAGCAAATCTATGAAAGGCCAACTCATAAACCAAATGTAGCAGAAGCAGCATGAAATCGGAACAAGGGAAATTTGTTAGTGATTCAAAATTTTAGAAGAAACAAACATCCATCGCCATGTGAGAAAGTCACAAGAATTGACGTTCCCATGCCGGTCTCCTTGGGCAGTTCTTAGGCCAGCCTCTCCACAGTTTCTTTCTCTGACTCTCCGCTACCTGCAAGGAGGTTTCAGTCTGAGCAGCCATCTGTCTTTGGATTGGTATATTATTATTAATCATTAAATACGTGAATCTTTCAGTTAGTTTATAGTTAACTCTTAATCATATACCAAATGTAATAGAATTGCGTTTTTGCTACATTCTGGGAGAGGCATTCTGATATTTCTATCTCTCTGCTTTATGTTGATTTTATACTTTTGCATGGGGGCTAACACTGTTTCCAACTTTTTTCATAACACCTCATTGTTACTCCTAAACATCACAAAAAATTACGCAGATGCCAAATCAATGTGTCACTCATATCAGAGTTCACTTGCTCAGTCCAGGATCCAGGACCAGCCTCAGAGAGGTTGGACCACAGGCACACATAGCTCATTCAGGAAAAGCAGAACTGCCGTCACAACCTTTATAACCGAACATGCAGCAGGAATCCTGGAACAATGCATGATCACTAGTCGCCTGATACCAAGCCTCATATTCTTCCAATTAGTCCTTAAAATTATTCTCATTCTCATACCAACTACATTAATCATACAATTCCTGGATGACTACAGACCCCTAAGCCCTCACTATTCCACCACCTTCCACACTGCCACCAGCATACATACACAAGCACACCGCGTATATGCAGCACATCTAACTCAGCACAAGCCTTGCTCGGTATAATCTCAATTCCCTTGTATTCTCTGGGGAGAGATGAATGGCATCCTTTTTGATTTCAGTATACATGTAGCTATGACAAATTTCCATCTTTCAGGGAATTTACAAAAGCTTTTTGGCTATCATGCATCTAACTGTACCACCCAAAACAGATTTTCTCAAAAAGGGGAGAAAAAACTTGGTCTCACATCTCACTGTTACACAAACGTAACATTTGGTCTCGTAGAAGAAACATTAAAAAGGCCATTGAGCCCTCCAGTGGCAAAATTCTGAAAATGTTATGATGCACATCTAAGCACCCTGGAGAAATCTCCTGAAGACGCGCAGAAACAGAATAGGCAGTCTTAAATCAGTTTAGGCTTTGGGGGTTTTCAAGTTCCTAAACTTTCTATGACCACAATTAGCCCAAATTATGACAGTGATCATTGTCCGAGCACTCAATTTTCTGGAAAAATCTCTTCCAGGTAATGCCTTAATGGAAAAGCCCTCTCAAATTTATTTCTGTGCTTTAAGGTTTATTTATTTTGACAGCTGTAGATTTTAATAAAGAGTTTAATTAAAGATGTTGCCACCAGACATATCTGATGAGTCTAGTTCTGGGGATGAATTATAAGACTTGTGAAAATCAAACAAAACAGAAACAGGAGTCATTCCTAGAGGTCTGTAATTGAAGACTAAATGTCTTAATTCAGAGGCTACCTGGCTTGGGTTAAAGATGTTCAATGACTTTGCTAATTATTTTCTCTTGATATAGGTATTTTCCAGTATTAAGTTACAGAAACTCCTGGGTACATGTTTACTACTCTCTTCTTTGCTTTTCTAATTTCTAAAGGACTGAGAGGGTGGAAAGAGGTGAGGGTCACTTGCTTTTGATAGTTGATTAGGACAGATGATCTCTCTTCCTATGAGGCTCTTCATTTTATTATACCACTGTATCTCTCTCCTCACACTTTTTCTAACATTTTCTTCTTCACATTTTTAATTTTTTTATTATGTCAAATTGAAGATTTCTTACATATGTTATTACACATTTTTATCCAATTTTTCCTCCTCATGAAATTTTGAGTCATAAAGTTTTCTATATGGGTTAACGATTCTACAAAGGTTGGAAATATACTATGATCTCATCTGTATTATTATTCTTTGCATTGGCATTTAAACTTTTATAATATATATTTATTTACATACAAATTTCATAATTTTTATAACTGTATATGTATTGAAAACATATAATGTTCTTCATATAGTTAACTAGCGAAATCAGTATCTCTTAATGTTTGTACAATTTGCCTATTTCTATTTAATTTTTTGGAATTCAACATTTGACATAAAAATAACATAAGGCTATTTTCATTTTAGGTTATATCTACAATGCTTACCTGCATTTAAAAGCTGATATTCAGATACTGACCTTAAGTTTGAGAATCATGCCTTGCACACATAAGAGATGTAGTAGTATAGATTAGATATGATGCTAACCTGGTGTTCACACGCAAGTTCAGGGATGGCAGAAACAAAGTGAAGGTGGGCATTTGCTCTTGAGCTTTCAAAGGCTGAGAACTTCTCAAGGTTTGGGTGGAGCAGTGAGGCCAAGGCTGAACTTCAATCCATCCCTAAGCCCTTGACAGTAATTTCTGGTCTGCTTCTGTTCCCCTCACTGCACTATGGACCTTTTGAGGGTAGATGCTTTACCTTATTTGTCTAGGATAGTGTTTGACAAATAGTGAATATTCAACAGACTTTTAAAAATATTCAGCAAACATATCTATCAAATCAGTGCAGGCTTATTTTTGTGAGATCTTTGTTAGGTGTGTATAGGCTGGCAGGTTTAAAACTTGGTCATGTACACTGAAGTCTTAGCAGTGTGCCATTTTAGGTTTAATCTAAACATTCCTCTACCTTTAGAATCTCTTATCTTCCTTTTATTATCCACATTCTTTTCATACTTACAGCTTAAATTCTGACTAGTTAAATCCTCGTATTTCCTTTTTTGTTGTCTTCTCTCTCTCTCTCCCTCTCTCTCTCCACCCACCTCTTTTCTTCATTTTAATTGAGAGAGACTACATATTAGAAAATATCCTAGTAGGATATTTTATACTATAAAATTATTTACCATCTTTTATTCTAAACCAACCAGAGATTCTAATTTTGGGGGGTACTTTGTTTTAAATTCATTTATTTTTATGAAACCTTATTGAGCACATACTATATAATAAGGTATTGCTCTAGGTACAGTTATAACTATTGAAATCTAGCTTTATTAGGAAAAGAAACTTTTAATTAGCCAAATATCTTCTCTATTATTATCCTTCATATTCAGTAAACCCTATCCATGTGGGAAATGTGCATCCAAAACATTGACATCAGTCTTTCCACACAAGTCAAGATCTTTCTCACATCTCAGTATGGCAGCTGCTTTGCAGGACAATGTCATATTTGTAACTCAACTTATGGTCTCTAAAATGAGGATAATGCCATTATTTTTAGAACATTAAGAAGTCTGCATAGGAAGATAACTGTACAACTCATTTCCTTTAAACCATAGCAGCTTGAAAAACACATAGACTTGGAGATTCCTCTGAATTCACAAGAGCCAGAAGTTTTAAACTACACCTAGAGCCTCATCCTGCTAAAGCTTAGCCAATATTTTAGTGGGGGAAAGCATCTCAAAGACCACATTATTCTTACATTAGGCTGTTAGCAATTTCATAACATTTATACCATATTTCTATTTGCTCAAAGTTCTCCCTCAGAACATAGTGCTCCTGCAAACTTCTGAAGTAATTTTCCCCAATTAAATTCCTAAGAAAATTGAAATCCTTCAAATTTTAGTAGCTGTAAAACTCCATTTACACTGGCATTACAGTCTATTTCTACCTGGCAGCAACATTCATCAAACACCTACATGCTACTGTATAGAAATGAGTCACTTCCCCTTCTGGGGGAGATTTAAAGCACAATTCCGCAAAGCAAAATAGTCTGAAAAGCTAGAAAGTTACATGCTTTCCAAAAAAGGAAACACTGAACCACAGTCTCTCACTGAGTGAAAATAGGCAAAGAAAATAAAAATATAAAATGAGTATAAAGTTTAATGAACGTCAACACCTTTATGAATCAAAACGCCTATGCAAAGGCTTAGTGAGAAAAAAAGTCCTCAGAGAAATGCTTATCATCATTTCATTCAAATGAAGTGGTCCTCCTTATTCATTTAAAACTAACAACCTTGTAGCTATTTTTAACTAAGAAATGAATAGATTTATCTTCTAACCAACAAAAACTAGATTGATTTATCTAGTTTGTTACATTTTTCTTTACCTTTTTTCCCTTTTGTGTTTCCTACTTATTTCTGGCGAGGGATTACTAAAAAGAGAGAAATAAAAATACAAAGTGGAAAACTATTATCCAAACTCAGTCATTTGGAAATTTGAGATTCTGAAAATTTTCTAATGGTTGGCATCTTTTTAAAGGTCACTTTTTGAACAAGAGCCCTCAAATACAAAATTGTGAGATGCAATAAGAGAATATTCTATTGGAAGTAATAATAAATTTTATATTTCTGGCCTTATTTGTAATAACATAAAAGTAGAAACAGCCCAAAGGTCCATTAACAGGTGAATGCATAAACAAATTGAAGTATATCTGTACGTTGGAATACTACTCAGCAAGAAAAAAGAATGAACTATTAAATGCCATGAATAAATCTTAAAATTATTACACTGAGTGATAAAAATCCAAACTTCCTAATAAAAAGGACGTATACTTTTTCATCTCACTTATATAAAATTCTAGGAATTGAAAATTAAATCTAGGTGACATAAGTCAGATCAGTGGTAGCCTAGGGAAAGGGATGAAGGCAGAGAGAGATTAAAGGGGAGCACAAGGAAATTTTCTAGAGCCATCAAAATGTTTGTTATCTTGATGTGGTGATGATTTTACATGGATGTACACGTCACAATTCATTAAGCTGTGTACTTTTAACATGTGAAATTGTCTGATAATTATGCTGCAATAAACCTGTTTTTAAAAACTATCTGCTCATAAAATGCCACCCCCATAAAAAGTCACTAAAGGTCCTGTGAAAATTAGAACTTCCACTATTTAGGACATGTGAATCCATAAGCAAGATGAATCCCAGCACTAGGAGGGACACAGAGACATGACATGAGGACCCTGACTTCCTCTTAAGACTGTGATACAAGGGAAATTTGGCTTTGTTAGACATCTGTCTCTGATGATGTGATCAGGACAAACTACGAAAGTAACGGATAAGTAGAATTCACAGAAAATTCCCAATGATAAGAAAAGATGAGACTGATTTAAAATAGAAAAAAAGAGGGAAATATAAAATTGGAAAAATATAAGTTTTCAGACCCAGAACAATAGATGGCATACATCTGTGGTTTTAGAAAGAAGGAGAACAAATGAGGTGAGTCCAGTTAGAAGAAGTGATATTTGGGCTGAGACTTAAAGAGGAGAAAGAGGTAGACATGTGAGGAAAAAGAGGGACGTTCAGCACTCTGAAAAGAGTCATCACGGAACCTGGGGAACCACAGCATGAATGGAGCATAGAGTCTGAGGAAGTAGTGTTGAGAAATAAGATAGGTAGGAGCCAGACCACAAAGGGTCTAATATGTCATTACAGGGATGTTAGACTTTGTCCTGAGAGCAATGAGGAATCAGTGACATTTTAAGAAAGCAGGAGAAAAGAAAATTCTGGCTCTAGTTGGAGAACACGTTAGATAAGACAAAACTGGAGAGAGAGACACCATTTTAGTAATCCACTCGAGATGACAGGGACTGAAAACCAAGGTTGCTTCTGAATAAAAAGGTGAACGAGTCCAAGAGATATTAAAAAGGTAAGATGGGAAGAATTTGGTGATGGATTGGAAGTGGCAAGCAGGGAAAGTTAAGACTAAGTTAAATAAAGAGATGAATGAATAAAGAATGAGAACTAAACAAGATGGCCAGCTTTCTGTCTTGGGCAACCAAGACAATGGTGATACCATTTACTGTAAGAGGAAACACAGAGAGTATTCGAAGACGATTCTCCACTGGTGCCTCGCCTTTCACATATTGACACTAACTGGATGCCGGTGTTCTAGAAAATCATCTCTAGGATGTTTATACAGTGCAACCTTAAAAGACAGAGAGAGTATCTCCCTACAGAGTAGAGAGAAGATATTTTTAACGTACAGTCTCCTAAGGATAATGCCTCCCTTTATTAAATGTAATAGGTTGCTTCCAAGATGGCTGAATAGGAATACAAAAGTAGAAACAGCTCAAAGGTCCATTAACAGGTGAATGCATGAACAAACTGAAGTATAAATGTACATCTGTATATCGGTCTATAGCTCCCAGCAAGATCGACGCAGATGACAGGTGATTTCTGCATTTCCAACTGAGGTACCTGGTTCATCTCATTGGGACTGGTTGGACAGTGGGTGCAGCCCACGGAGGATGAGCCAAAGCAGGGCGGGGCATCACCTCACCCGGGAAGCACAAGGGGTGGGGGGATTTCCCTTTCCTAGCCAAGGGAAGCCGTGACAGACTGTACCTGGAGAAATGGTACACTACTGACCAAATACTGCTCTTTTCCCATGGTCTTAGCAACCGGCAGACCAGGAGATACCCTCCTATGCCTGGCTTGGCAGGTCCTATGCCCACAGAGCTTTGCTCACTGCTAGCGCAACAGTCTGCGATCAATCTGTGACACTGCAGCTTGACGGGAGGAGGGACATCTGCCATTGCTGAGGCTTAAGTAGCTCACAGTGTAAACCAAGCTGCTGGGAAGCATGAACTGGGTGGAGCACACCGCAGCTCAGCAAGGCCTACTGGCTCTATAGATTCCACCTCTGGGGGCAGGGCATAGCAGAACAAAAGGCAGCAGACAGCTTCTGCAGATGTAAACGTCCCCATCTGACAGCTCTGAAGAGAGCAGAGGTTCTCTCAGCATGGCGTTTGAGCTCCAAGAACGGTCAGACTGCCTCCTCAAGTGTCGCCTGACTGGGAAACCCCTCCCAGTAGGGGCTGACAGACACCTCAAACAGGCAGGTGCCCCTCTGGGATGAAGCTTCCAGAGGAAGGATCAGGCAGCAATATTAGCTGTTCTGCAGCCTCCACCTGTGATACCCAGGCAAACAGGGTCTGGAGTGGACCTCCAGCAAACTCCAATAGACCTACAGCTGAGGGGTCTGTTAGAAGGAAAACTAACAAACAGAAAGGAATAGCATCAACAAAAAGGACATCCACACCAAAACCCCATCTGTAGGTCACCAACATCAACATCAAAGACCAAAGGTAGATAAAACCACAAAGATGGAGAGAAACCAGACCAGAAAAGCTGAACATTCCAAAAAACAGAGCACCTCTTCTCCTCCAAAGGATCACAGCTCCTCGCCAGCAAGGGAACAAAGCTGGATGGAGAATGACTTTGACAAGTTGACAGAAGTAGGCTTCAGAAGGTCCATACTAAGAAACTTCTCCGAGCTAAAGGCGCATGTTCTAACCCATCGCAAGGAAACTAAAAACCTTGAAAAAAGTTAGACAAATGGCTAACTAGAATAAACAGTGTAGAGAAGACCTTAAATGACCTGATGGAGCTGAAAACCACAGCACGAGAACTTTGTGATGCATGCACAAGTTTCAATAGCCAATTTGATCAAGTGGAAGAAAGGATATCAGTGACTGAAGATCAAATTAATGAAATAAAGCATGAAGACAAGATTAGAAAAAAAAAAAGAGTGAAAAGAAATGAACAAAGCCTCCAAGAAATATGAGACTATGTGAAAAGACCAAATCTACATTTGATTGGTGTACCGGAAAGTGACAGGGAGAATGGAACCAAGCTAGAAAACGCTCTTCAGGATACTATCCAGGAGAACTTCCCTAACCTAGCAAGGCAGGCCAACATTCAAATTCAGGAAATACAGAAAACACCACAAAGATACTCCTGGAGAAGAGCAACCCCAAGACACATAATTGTCAAATTCACCAAGGTTGAAATGAAGGAAAAAATGTTAAGCGCAGCCAGAGAGAAAAGTCGGGTTACCCACAAAGGGAAGCCCATCAGACTAACAGCGGATCTCTCGGCAGAAACCCTACAAGCCAGAAGAGTGGGAGCCAATATGCAACATTCTTAAAGAAAAGAATTTTCAACCCAGAATCTCATAACCAGCCAAACTAAGCTTCCTAAGTGAAGGAGAAATAAAATCCTTTACAGACAAGAAATGCTGAGAGATTTTGTCAACACCAGGCCTGCATTACAAGAGCTCCTGAAGGAAACACTAAATATGGAAAGGAATAACTAGTACCAGCCACTGCAAAAACATGCCAAATTGTAAAGACCATTGACGCTATGAAGAAACTCCATCAATTAACAGGCAAAATAACCAGCTAACATCATAATGACAGGATCAAATTCAAACATAACAATGTTAACCTTAAATGTAAATGGACGAAATGCCCCAATTAAAAGACATAAACTGGTAAATAGGATAAAGAGTCAGGAGACCCATCTCACATGCAAAGGCACACATAGGCTCAAAATAAAGGGATGGAGGAAGATATACCAAGCAAATGGAAAGCAAAAAAAAAATAAAAAGCAGGGGTTGCAATCCTAATCTCTGATAAAACTGACTTTAAATGAACAAAGATCAAAAGAGACAAAGAAGGCCACTACATAATGGTAAAGAGATCAATTCAACAAGAAGAGCTAACTATCCTAAATATATATGCACCCAATACAGGAGCACCCAGATTCATAAAGCAAGTCCTTAGAGACCTACAAAGAGACTTAGACTCCCACACAATAATAATGGCAGACTTTAACACCCCACTGTCAATATTAGACAGATCATGGTGGATAAGCTTTTTGAAGTGCTGCTGGATTCAATTTGCCAGTATTTTATTGAGGATTTTTGCATCAATGTTCATCAGGGATATTGGCCTAAGATTCTCTTTTTTTGTTGTGTCTCTACCAGGCTTTGGTATCAGGGTGATGACAGCCTCATAAAATGAGTTAGGGAGGATTCCCTCTTTTTCTATTGATTGAAATAGTTTCAGAAGAAATGGTACCAGCTCCTCTTTGTACCTCTGGTAGAATTCAGCTGTGAATCCATTTGGTCCTAGACTTTTTTTGGTTGGTAAGCTATTAATTATTGCCTCAATTTCAGATCTGTTATTGGTCTATTAAGAGATTCAACTTCTTCCTGGTTCAGTCTTGGGAGGGTGTTATGTGTCCCGGAATTTATTCCTTTCTTCTAGATTTTCTAGTTTATTTGCATAGAGGTGTTTATAGTATTCTCTGATGGTAGATTGTATTTCTGTGGGATCGGTGGTGATGTCCCCTGTATCATTTTTTATTGCATCTATTTGATTCTTCTCTCTTTTCTTCTTTATTAGTCTTGCTAGTGGTCTACCTATTTTGTTTATCTTTTCAAAAAACCAGCTCCTGGATTCATTGATTTTTCGAAGGGTTTTTTTGTGTCTCTGTCTCCTTCAGTTCTGCTCTGATCTTAGTTATTCCTTGCTTCTGCTAGCTTTTGAATTTGTTTCTTTTGCTTCTCTAGTTCTTTTAATTGTGATGTTAGGGTGTCGATTTTAGATCTTTCCTGCTTTCTCTTGTGGGCATTTAGTGCTATAAATTCTCCTCTACATGCTGCTTTAAATGGGTCCCAGAGATTCTGGTACATTGTGTCTTTGTTCTCATTGGTTTCAAAGAACATCTTTATTTCTGCCTTCATTTTGTTATTTACCCAGTAGTCATTCAGGAGCAGGTTGTTCAGTTTCCATGTAGTTGTGCGATTTTGAGTGAGTCTCTTAATCCTGAGTTCTAATTTGATTGCACTGTGGTGTGAGAGACAGTTTGTTGTGATTTCTATTCTTTTACATTTGCTGAGGAGTGTTTTACTTCCAATTATGTGGTCAATTTTAGAATAAGTGTGATGTGGTACTGAGAAGAATGTATGATCTGTTGATTTGGGGTATAGAGTTCTGTAGATATCTATTAGGTATGCTTGGTGCAGAGCTGAGTTCAAGTCCTGGATATCCTTGTTAACCTTCTGTCTCGTTCAACAAAATTCAACAGCTAAAAACTCTCAATAAACTAGGTTTTGATGGAACATATCTCAAAATAATAAGAGCTATTTATGACAAAACTACAGCCAATATTATACTGAATGGGCAAAAGCTGGAAGCATTCCCTTTGAAAACTGGCACAAGACAAGGATGCCCTTTCTCACCACTCCTATTCAACATAGTATTGGAAGTTCTGGCCAGGGCAATCAGGCAAGAGAAAGAAATAAAGGGTATTCGACTAGGAAAAGAGGAAGTCAAATTGTCTCTGTTTGCAGATGACATAATCATATATTTAGAAAACCCCATCGTCTCAGCCCAAAATCTCCTTAAGCTGATAAGCAACTTCAGCAAAGTCTCAGGATACAAAATCAATGTGCAAAAATCACAAGCATTCCTATACACCAATAATAGACAGAGAGCCAAATCATGAGTGAACTCCTATTCACAATTACTACAAAGAGAATAAAATACCTAGGAATCCAAGTTACACAGGATGTGAAGGATCTCTTTAAGGAGAACTACAAACCACTGCTCAATGAAATAAAAGAGGACACAAGCAAATGGAGGAACATTCCATGCTCATGGATAGGAAGAATCAATATCGTAAAAATGGCCAGAATGCCCAAGGTAATTTATAGATTCAATGCTATCCCCAACAAGCTACCTCTGACTTTCTTCACAGAATTGGAAAAAACTACTTTAAAATTCAGATGGAACCAAAAAAGAGCCCACATAACCAAGACAATCCTAAGCAAAAAGAACAAAGCTGGAGGCATCACGCTACCTGACTTCAAACTATACTACAAGGCTACAGTAACCAAAACAGGATGGTATGGTACCAAAACAGATATATAGACCAATGGAACAGAACAGAGGCCTCAGAAATAACATCTACAACCATCTAAGCTTTGACAAATCTGACAAAAACAAGCAATGGAGGAAGGATTCCCTGTTTAATAAATGGTGCTGGGAAAACTGGCTAACCATAGGTAGAAAGCTGAAACTGGACCCCTTCCTTACACCGTATACAAAAATTAACTCAAGATGGATTAAAGACTTAAATGTAAGACCTAACACCATAAAAACCCTAGAAGAAAACCTAGGCAATACCATTCAGGACATAGGCATGAGTAAAGACTTCATGACTAAAATACCAAAAGCAATGGCAACAAAAGCCAAAATAGACAAATGGGATCTAATTAAACTAAAGAGCTTCTGAACAGCAAAAGAAACTATCATCAGAGTGAACAGGCAACCTACAGAATGGGAGAAAATCTTTGCAATCTACCCATCTGACAAAGGGCTAATATTCAGAATCTACAAAGAACTTAAACAAATTTACAATTAAAAAAAACCCCATCAGAAAGTGGGTGAAAGATATGAACAGATACTTCTCAAAAGAAGACATTTATGTGGCCAAAAAACATATGAAAAAATGCTCATCATCACTGGTCATCAGAGAAATGCAAATCAAAACCAAAATGAGATACCATCTCACGCCAGTTAGAATGGCGATCATTAAAAATTCAGGAAGCAACAGATGATGGAGAGGATGTGGAGAAATAGGAACGCTTTTCACTGTCGGTGGGAGTGTAAATTAGTTCAACCATTGTGGAAGACAGTGTGGCAATTCCTCAAGGATCTAGAACTGGAAATACCATTTGACCCAGCGATCACATTACTGGGTATATACCCAAAGGATTATAACTCATGCTACTATAAAGACTCTTGCACACGTATGTTTACTGTGACACTATTCACAATAGCAAAGACTCGGAATGATCCCATATGTCCATCAGTGATAGACTGGATTAAGAAAATGTGGCACATATACATCATGGGATACTATGCAGCCATAAAAAAGGATGAGTTCATATCCTTTGCAGGGACATGGATGAAGCTAGAAACCATCAATCTAAGCAAACTATCACAAGGACAGAAAAGCAAGCACCGCATGCTCTCACTCATACGTGGGAGTTGAACAACAAGAACACATGGACACAGGGCGGGGAACATCACACACCAGGGCCTGTGGGAGAGTGGGGGCCTGGGAGAGGGATAGCATTAAGAGAAATACCTAATGTAAATGACGAGTTGATGGGTACAGCAAACCAACATGGCACATGTTTACCTAAGTAACAAACCTGCACGTTGTGCACATGTACCCTAGAACTTAAAAGTATAATAAAAAAATAATAAAATAAAAATAATGAAGATAAGCAAAGGGCACATTTATTTGTAGCCTGTTACGAAATGTTGAGTTCCCTAAGCTCAAGTTTTCTGTGTGATTCAGATGTACAGCAACTACCTGAGCCACTCTGCATCGCCCCATGGGACTTGGGGGCTGAGGGAATGAACATGAATGTGAAGCTCATATTATTGTTATGTCAGGAATCATAAAGTCCTTTGTTTCTAATCCAGGAACTTCGTGTTGTGTGTCAGTATACATGAAACTGTGGTGGCTAACTGGTTAGCTTGCAAGTATAATAACATTTCAGACCCTTCACAGTTTTTGACAGAGGAGAGGAGACGGTTTTTATGTTTAGTATAATGCAAAGAAAATAAGATTTAGAGTCAGGCTGATATAAGTTTGAATTTTGGTCCATCCACATCCTAGCTGGGCAACTGTAAGCCAGTTATTTAACTTTTGGATTTCTTTTTCTCCTCTATAAAAATGAATACAATGATATAAAAATGGAAGCGTTCTTGAGTACAATTTAAACAGAATAACTTATGTGAAATGCCTAGAACAATACTTAGCACAAAAATGCTTTCCTCTTTAATGATATTTTCATTTTCTACTTTTTCCTTATAGCTTTATTATTATATTTTTAAAGTGCATAAATATGTCTTAACACTACTAATAGGTAGGCTTACATGGAAAATGCTGAATCTCCTCAGTATGTAGTATATGAGCTACTCAACAAATATCTGTTAAATCAGTCAAGGACTAGTTGATAAGAATAGCTTATTTTATTCACTCACTAATTCATGCATCCTTATTGAGATGTTATTATGCTCCAGGCACTGAACTAGGAAGCAGAGATTTAGCAAAGAAAGCCCATGCTCTCATGAAACTTACTTTTGGTAAACACAGATTTAGCAAACACAGACGAGAATTTCGGACAGAGACAAGTGCTATAAAACAGCAGAAGCAAGAAAGAGCATGGGCGGCTGGTGAGGTTTAGGAGAAGCTTCTATGAGAAGGGGTTACTTTATCTCCCACCTGGCAATAGAAAGGGGCCAGCAATCAAATATCTGAAATAAGCACTTTGCAAGCAGAAGGGAAAGCAAGCGCAAAGACCCTGAAGTGAGAACAAGCTTGACCATTAGAGGAACCTAAAGAATGTCAGTATGCCTACTTCTCATAGAAGGTGGGAGGGACGAGAATAGTCAAGAGGTTCAGGTTGAAGAAGGAGGCAGAGGCCAGATCATGCAGGTACTCATAGCATGGTACAGATTTGGATTTCATGAGTCATTATGAAAGAATGAAAGAAATTAAGAAAGAATTACTCACTAGAAGAGTAATTTTTTTAAACACGTTTCTCAAATTTAGGGAAAGTAACTCCATAAATACATGTGGATGGTGGAGTTTAAGTTGAGATTTCTTATCTTGCTAGGGGATTCCCTATATTAATATTATTTATGTTTGCTCTTGAAATATCCCTGGGAATACACTGTAGTTGAGAAGGAACCAGAATTTAAAACAAGCAAAATTTCTCTTATAGTAATAATAAGTAATATATGGTGCTTACTATTATAGTACCTGGCTCTGTTCTAAGCAGTTTATGTATATTTAGTCATCCAATCCTCACAATAATTCTATAAACAACAGTAATAATAGATACTATTATCCACAATTAATAGATAAGGAAACTGAGGTGCAAAGAGATTCAGAAACTTACCCCAAATCACATATCTAGTAAGTGTTGAGTGCATATAATTAAAAACAAAATCTTTTCCCAACCCAGAAAACTTCTCCACAAAGGTAGAAGAGAAAGAATACAATTTTATTATTGAATAAGCATCAAAGCAGAATATCATACATCACAGGCAATCTGCTAAGAGATTACAAAGACAGAAAGAAATCGTACCCTTTTTATATTTATATAGCCAAGCAGATACAACCCATACATACATGTTCTCAAGATAAACAATGACTAGTCCTCAAGGAAGGGGACTTGACAGCACCATTTGTCATGCACAGTTCATCCTAAATTAGCCTGGTATTGGGGTGACCATGTGTGTTACTAATTGGCTTTACCCAAAGGAAAAATTAACTTCTCCTATCTCTATGACAGAAGGTAATTTAGGAACTAAGAATCCCCCACTGAAGTTAGGCTGCTACCCTCCCACAAAAACTGGAAGATAGGGGCACTATCTTCCTTGATTGCATTTCAAAAAGATGGTTCTCTGTTCTCTGATCCTTGAGAAAGACATTCCTGGGTCACAGAACTCACCAGAGCCTTATTTAGTTTTTAAAAAGATGTATATAGATTTCAAAGAGATAAAGAATGTGCAATTACAAGTTTTCTAAAGTAAATGCTCTAAGAAAAGGGAAGGGGTAGAAATCTTTTCCCTTATTTTTAAGAAGAAGAATTAAGCCTCCAATTTTTAATTTGTATTTGCCCTTAAATAAGTAGCAGAGCTGAGATCTGAACCTACACAGTCTGGGTCTAGGATCTACTTTCACACTTTAACATTTCTATTTCTTAGGCGCTCCATTCCTATTTTTCCCTATTTTTTTATTTCTTAGGCACTCATTCCTATTTTCCCTAATTTTCCTATTAAGAATGTGTAGAGTCATATTCTTAATTCTCATTTTTTCTGTCTTTGCTTTGACAAAAAAAGTATCTAGATAGGGCAGAGCAAGCTAAAAT
The DNA here is from genome assembly GCF_000001405.40 of Homo sapiens. NCBI lineage: Eukaryota > Metazoa > Chordata > Mammalia > Primates > Hominidae > Homo > Homo sapiens. The sequence goes on along the minus strand of NW_003315918.1, from coordinate 1,640 downwards.
CATATATATTTGGCCCCATACTGTCAATGGAACTGATTTAATTCCCAAGGATTAAGCACTGTAGCAAATATAGCTCAATTCTAACAATAATTTGGCAATTTGCCCATCTAATTTGACATTAACAACCTAGGTAGACTGACAAACAAGATCATTTTATATACATTCCAGATGATGATTTTCTAAAACTGTCTGTTGCCATGAGCCAATGCTGTCTAACATAAATCATTCAAGGAAAGAGTACTTGGTATGTTGGAAAATGAAAATCAGCAACTAATACAATAAGTACAGCAGTTTACATGGCCACTAGCAGAATATGCAAGAGGATAAAATGGAGGTGAGAACACATAAGGTGGATTTTCTTAGTTTTATGTGCATGAAAATTACCATCCTTTTTAGAAACAAAACTTCATTTCTAAAATATCCCTTTTATTCATAACCGTACAAGAATTTTTACCCACATACTCTGTAAGAACACTGCCAGGGGGTGGGACAACCATCTACCTGGTATAATTTGATCTCTGATTACAAGAAGTTTAATAATTCCATTCAAAACAAGAAGAAGGTATATAACACATGACATACACTAGTTTACATTTAATAGAAAATTAATTAAGACACAATTAAACAATGTACTGCAAACACAGTACACACAGCTATATTATGTACCCCCTTATATTAACCTTCCACAGTGAATCTTTGTCTTTGCTCTTTCCCGATGAAAATGTATGAAAAGAGTGACTAAAGAGAGACCCAAATTGACTTACAACCATTTATAACTAAAGAACACATCTTTAGAATAAAATAAATGTATAGGTACATATGTAAGTAAGAAAACAATAAATATGCAAATCCAAACTAATATAAAAAGACAAGATTATTAAAGTTTCTGATAAGATGTTTCATTTCATTACATATGAATCCTAGTGGTGGGAACGAGTGTGGGAGGAAAGGAGATTGCAAGTTTGCTATTTTTGAAAGCATAATCCAGTATTCTAGTAGCAGACAGTATACTGCTCTTGTATATTTGCAATTTTCAGGATTGGTAAATATACTGTAGCCTGGGTCACAAAATACCTATTATCATATTAACTTTTTATTCAGCCAGCAATAAATTCCTAGATTTTAAAAACTCAAGTCAAGCAACTTTTATCACTGCTAAAAATTTAGTCAATAAAAATGTCAATATCTTAGTCTTCCAAACCACAAACTACAGAAGCATTCATTCATAATGAACTAACAGAGCTTCAAATACTTCCCTTCCCTCTTGTATTTCTCTCAAACTTATACTTAAGATCTGGAATTTTTCACTGACAATGTTTTCTTCTATAAGCTATCTATAAAGTCAGCCAGAAACAATGATTATATTGATAGGGATAATTAAAACAGCTAACATTTGTTACGGCTAACATTTGAGGGCTCCCTACGTACCAACCACTGGTTCTAAGGGTTTTACATGCATTTAATTTTCACAGTACCCCTATGAGACAATTAGTGTAATTATCCCAATTTCCAGATGAGAAAACTCAGGAACACCGTGAATAAATACCCTATCTAACTAAGGTCACACAGCAATAATGTGATGAAGCAAAATTCTAGCCCAGGCAGCCTGGCTCCAGAACCTACATCTTACCCACAAGCTT